>NW_003315909.1:0-123821 GCF_000001405.40 Homo sapiens
AAAATATAAAAGATTAGATTTTATTTTCTAAAGTGACCTTGTTCCACATTCCAGACACATATGTGAAATCAAAAGTGGCATAGTACATGAAATATTTTCATTATGTCTGTTACAATGAACCATATACTCTAAATTTAACCAACTGGAAAAAAATGAAAGTGTAGCATTCGCTAGATCTCAGAGTGGTTGAATAACGGCTGATCTGCTGGGTCTGTGTTCCAGGGAAAAACATTCTGCTGTAACTTACATCAGATCTCCCTGGGAAGTTGTCTAGATCATTTTCATCATTATTATTACTGTCTCTTTGGCTGTTTAAAAGCAAGGGAAAAAGTTAATTATGATTAAGAGTTCAATATCTTTGAAATTAAAGCAATATTCACTTCAGGGGTAATGGAGACACACAGTAAAACTGGCAGTTAGGACTGTTACCAGTTTTCATAGTGTTGAGGTTTTTGCTGCATGGATTGACGTGGAAGATGATGTGATGGGACTAGCAACAATATCAGCTCATGCAAGGGCCTGTTACACATGATTGCACATGTTTACATGCTTTTTACATTCTTATAGATTAGAAATAATTATTTTACCAAGTCCTGTTACTTGACACAGGGATAAGATAATTTGGCTAATATGTCCATTGTAAGATCTTGAAATTCCCATGAATTGTAATAGTGATTGATAAGCTAGTACTGTGACTGTCTTAGTTCAGGCTGCTCTAACAAAGTACCATAAACTGGATAGCTTATAAATAATAGGAATTTATTTCTTACAGTTCTGGAGGCTGGGAAGTCCAAGAGCAAGGCACCCACACATTAGCTGTGTGATGAGGGCCCACTTCCTGGTTCATCAGTGGCTATTTACTCACTGTAACCTCAGATGGCAGAAGGGGCTAGGCAGCTCTTGGGGTCTCTTTTATAAGGGCACTAATCTCATTCATGGGGGCTCCACCCTCATGAACTAATCATTTCTCAGAGCCTCCACCTCCAAATACCATCACATTGAGGGAATAGGTTTCAATCGATACATTTTAGGGGCACGAACATTTAGTCTATTACAGCAACTAAACAAGAAGAAAGCAAAGCTTTGTTTCCTTTTTCCTTTTTCAATAGCTTGACAATGAAGTTGAAAAGACAGCAAATCTTGTCATTAGCAACTGGAATCAGCAAATTAAGGCAAGTATCCACAAATACCATTTGTGTAAACTCAGTTTTTAGAATTGAAGTGTTTTGCTTTCATACAAATGCGATGACATGTTCTAGCATTAGTACTTCTAAGTGCTAACTGAAGAGAAAAATGTTTCCTTACCTGGTTGTTACACAGATATATTTTTCACCAAACCAATGGAAGTGCATGGCTCTAACTATGATTATTTAGCACTTATTATGTGCTAAGTGCTATATATTTATGTATTTAATCATCACAACAACCCAATGTCATATGTCATTGTGCATTGCCCCATTTTACAGATTGGGCAATGGAGACACAGAGAGTTTCAGTAATTTTCCCAAGGATACAGAGCTGGTTAATGGTTGAACCAATGGTTGTCACAAGTTGGGTTCCAGGGTCACTGCTCTTAATCATTCCATTATACTGACTACCTTTCTGTATAATTTGTAACTTACAGAATATGATAAACACCACCTGGGTTTTGTTTTTTTCATTTGTAGAAAGGTGTTAGTGATCTCTACATCATTAGTGAGAGTGGCCCAGTGAGGGGTGGGTAGTGATATGTAAAAGGGGATGCGTATATCAATTTCATGAGTATGTGGGGTCCACTTTTTGTGCACAACACTATTCTAAGACATAATTTTTTTCAAGTAATTTAAAATTTAGTTGGCTAGATGACGTGTGCAGGAAATAGGGAATACATTCTAGGAGGAATTACGATCTGGCGTGGGAAGCTAGAGCATATCTGTATGAGTTCTTAAGCAGAGAAAATAACAGATGGGATCCATATGCACAGAAGATTATTCTAGAACAATGTAGTATAGGAGGAATTCATTTCAGGTAGAAAGGACTAGCAGTAAATCTACTAACAAGATTCAATGAACCCCTCTGAGAAGACTTGTTCTCTAAGTGTTGAAATCCTTTTTCATCTCCAAAGCGTTAGTGCCCACAGAGAACCTTTACAAGTAAACAGCCACTGATGCCAAATAACTAGAGACAGACGCACTCAGAGACAGGCAAACTTGGTGTTACTTCCAAAGCTTCTGCCAAAACTGAGGACTGACTCCATAAGACCAAGGACATTAATAAAAAGTGTTTGATGTAAGTGAATTTCTGTATCCACAGTAGTTACAATGGTAAAAGGATGCTCATGAGAATCACTTTTATAAAAAGTAAAGTCCCAGAAACAGTATCCAGTCATTTGCTTTTTAGTTTTGCCATGGATTTTATGAGTTTTCTTTAAAAGGAATTGTTTTGTATTTTTTTTAAAGAAATAGAGACAGGGTCTTGCTATGTTGCCCAGGCTGATCCCGAACTCCTGGGCACAAGGGATCTGCCCACCTTGGCTTCCTAAAGTGTAGGGATTACAGGGATGAGCCACTACACCTGGCCTTTAAAAGGATTTGTTTTTAAAAATCCATTTTCTTTTAATATTCAGCTTTCACAGGAATTCAGTACAATGAATCAAAAGCCAGAAATAATGCTGAGAGGCTGCAATTGCTCCCAAGAAAAAACATCTTTTATCATTTCCCAGTTTCTATCAAGTCATTTTTTTAAATAAAAGATTTCATTTTTTTAAATAAAGAGTGACAGCGAAATTAGAGAACATAAAATTATTGGGCTATAATAATTTTCTCCCCAGTTACAATTCAAGGGATTCAGCATGTCAGTAATGAAGTAGTCTATTTGGGAGACTCTAATGAAAAGCCTTAAAGGACCAAATATTCATGCGTCACACTCTCATTTCCCAGCAGGCATGTGGCTGACGGGAGGTGGAGAAAGAGGGCCATGAGCTTATTTCTTTAATTTTCCTTTGCAGAGGCTTCCCACGTTTAGAGGGAGGCAGAAGGCTTTGCCTTTGATTCCCAAGCTAAAAAGCCAAGGAAGAGAGACCTCTCCTTTACTATCTGGTTTGACAGTCCTTGCAACCTTGAGGCAAAAAGCCAAAGTCTTTCAATCAGCCTACTTCCTGAACAGGCTAAATCCAACTTAAACCAAATTCTGTTTGCATAATTTATCTCTGGAGCATCATCTTCAGTTAAATTCAACCATGTAGACTAGGAAATTATCCCCTAAATCCTAACCCACTCCAAAGGGTCAGCATGAACAGGGTAGGGAGACTCTTGAGTGCTCCTTCCTTCCCTACTTCTTTCTACTTCTCCAACTCCAGCAAGTGCAGGGCATTTCACAAGATGCCAGACAAATGCCCAACTCTCAGGCTTGGCCATCAGGGAGCAGAATTGTGACCCTTGCTGCACGTTTTAAGAGAACATCTTAAAACAATCTCAAATCGTGGCCTAGGTTGATGTAAAGAATGATGCAGGCAGTCTTCTGTGTTTGCTGTGATATCTTCTGTGGTAAAGCCATTATGCTCACTAGAACATTATTTTGGAGGCTTGCAGGCCTTTGATGATTTAGCAAAATTCAAAATCCTCTTGAGGGTACCCGATATAATGAAAAAGTATGCAGGAGTTCTCCGGACAAAGTGTTAGCTGCTCTGATGTTTTAGGTACATTTTGAAGTGAGGATGGGAATGAAGAACTAAAAGTACACATTTTTGTTTCAGCCTTTGGAGGATTCTAGGATACATAATTGTTAAAGCTAGCACATGAATGTGCTTTGTTCCAAAAGAGGAGAGTTTTCTCTTGGCATCAGCCTCTGCTCCTTTTTTTCTTGTTTGTATGTTTTTTACTCTAGGCCAAGAAGAAATTAATGGTTAGTACCAAGAAACATGAAGCACTTTTCCAGCTTGTAGAAAGCTCCAAGCAATCTATGACTGAGAAGGAGAAGCGGAAGGTAAGCTGTCATGGCTGGCTGGGCGCATGTGCCATAGAGAGGGATGGACTTGCTGCCCTTAGCTACGAACACAAGAGAACGGGTTGATTCCTCCTTCTCTGTGGGATTCCTGCAGAGATGTAGCTTGACAGAGCATAAAAGGGGATTCCAAATCATTACTGGCGTGCGCGCGCGCGCGCGCGCACACACACACACACACACACACACACACACACACCACATACATTTTAAACTTTATTTTAATTCTTTTAAATAGAAGGGATCTCACTGTGCTGCCCAGGCTGGCATCAAAGTCCTAGGCTCAAGGGATCCTCCCACCTCAGCCTCTCAAGTAGCTGGGACTACAGGAGCATGCTACTTTGCCTGGACCACATGTATTTTTAAAAAATATTATTGACAGATGACAAATGAGACCAATGATGCCCACATTTTTTTAAAGGAAACTCTATTAATATCTTAAAAAAACCTCTCAGCTAATACCCCAAATAAGTAAAAATAAATACTATATATATGTTGTTTGTTACATATAGTACTTTATGTATTATGTTAATATGTTATGAACATTATAAAGCATAAAAGTAGAAATGTTTCCAGGATGAAATAAAGATGAAATAATATTTTAAATGATTAGCAAACCATGATGTCTTTAGATAATCATTAAGTAATGTTTTCAGGAAAAATGTATACTTGGAGCAAGGTTCAGCCTTAACTATAGTAAATTTAAATGCATATTTCGAATAGTCTTCTTGATAATTTTTTTTTTTCTTGAGACAGAGTCTCACTCTGTGGCCCAGGCTGGAGGGCAGTGGTGCAATCTTGGCTCATTGCATCCTCCCACTCCAGGCTTCAAGCAATTATCCCACCCCAGCCTCCCAAGTAGCTGGGACTACAGGTGTGCACCACCATGCTCGGCTAATTTTTTTTTGCATTTTTAGTAGAGGCGAGGTGTCACCATGTTGGCCAGGCTGGTCTCGAACTCCTGACCTCAAGTGATCTTCCTGCCTTAGCCTCTCAAAGTGCTGGGATTATAGGCATGAGCCACCGCCCCTGGCCAGCCTTCTCGATAATGTAATTTGTTCATCAAATTTTTTGTCAGATCTCATTTCAGTGTTTGCCCTTTCATGTGGGTAGTAACAAACTCACAACCAGGAGAGGTGGCAGCATCAGCTTGGACATTTTGCTGTGGATTCTTTGTGGTTAAATTGTTGGTAGTAACATCAATCCACAGGTTCTTGGCAGAAATCCTCTAAGATATTTGTGCATTTTGTGTATGTTAACCTAACTGGAGCCAGAAAATGTCTGTAAAATCACATGGCCCAGGTATATGTCAATGGCCACATGTCCCAGATGCTGGAAGGGAAAACACAGTGAGGGCCTAGGGCAGCTTTTCAGGTTGCAGAATCCCCACCCTTCCCCCAGGCCATATCAGAATCCACAACTGTCCATGTGTGAGCACCAGTGTAGACTCATATATTAAATAAGAGTAAGCTTGACAACTGTGTTTTCAGGCAAAATGAACACGAATAATATTGGGGTACAGGAACAAAATGAACATTTTCTGCTTACACCCCAATAGATTATCTTGCACCCCTCTTGTGGTATGTGTCCCAGATTGAAAACCTTTGAAATAGTCGATATCTTCTACAAAAGATGAGTCTCCACTAAGGAAATGCAACCAGCACCACTGCAAACCCCTTACAAAGGAAGAGAAAATTGTCATCACCAGTAGCTCTTTCATCTGAAGAAATATCCATTGAATAACTTAAATTCATTGTTAGCAAGATTTTACAAGACTCTTATTTCTTTCCATGTCAGTCTTCACAGTTGGAAATGATCATAACAAGTATTGAATAATGAGGCAGCTTCCGAAGAGGCGAACCCAGTCTGTTAAAATACTCAGTGCCAGGACCTGCCTAGGCATTCTGAGTGCTCATTAGAAGCTATTCTTTATTGATGTCATGCAATAATAAAGAAAAAAGCATGGCAGCTAAGTGGTGAATTTCCTCTTCCTACCCCCATCAGCAGCTTCCCTGGGAAGTAAAGATCCACAGTGCTCTCTCCTCTCCTCCAGCTGGTAACCATAACCTTGGCTGTTACTCTGTCATACACCCATGCCATCTTCACTGCTTAATCTGGCAGCTTTTGTTAATCCTGAAGCTGAACACCCAAGCGGGGGGCATTCATTTTCTCATCTCACATAGAAGCGCTCATGATCACCTGAGCTGATGCTCTGTGCTGCTCAGCAAATTCTTCCTGGTTTCCTGCTCAGCAGTCTTGATTCCCACCAGAAGCTGATCTAAACCTCCGTTCTCCTCACACCTCCATCCACACACTCCTGGCACAGTATCTTGCCTCCTACCTCACAGAGTAAATAGAAGTCAGCACAGCCACCTGCCTACTGAAGTAATAGCATTTACATATCTGCAATGGAGAGGCCAGTTCTGCATCCTGTGCTCTAATCTCATCCCATTCTGCCTCCCAGAGGCCCTCTCTTGATTATCCCATATTTCCCATATCTTGGACAGCCCACTCCCTAATGATTCCTCCCCACCAGCCTTCTATAACTCCCCCTGTCTTATAGTCTGTTCAGGCTGCTATAACCAAGTTCCATAGATGGAGGTGGCTTCAACAGCAGACATTCTGGAAGTGTGGGATCAGGTGCTATCTGGTGAGGCTTCCTCTTTCAGGTTGCAGACCGGCTACTTCTCATTGCATTCTCACGTGGTGGAAAGAGAGCAAGGAAGCTCCCTGGGGCCTCTTCTATAAGGGCAGTAATCCCATTCATGAGGGTTCCACCCTCATGGCCTAATCTGGTGGGAGGGCACAAATAGTCTATTGCATCTTCCTCCCATCTTGCAAGAGTAAAGAAAGTTACAGGAACACTTATTTATGGGGTCTCACATTCCTCTCCAGATATTGTCATGTCTCCTTTTTACAATACATCTTTTTTTTTTATAATACACTTTTTTAACATCTTTTTTTTTTTTTTTTTTTTTTTTTTTGAGATGGAGTCTTGCTGTGTCGCCCAGGCTGGAGTGCAGTGGCGCGATCTCGGCTTACTGCAAGCTCCGCCTTCTGGGTTCATGACATTCTCCTGCCTCAGCCTCCCGAGTAGCTGGGACTACAGGCCCCGCCACCACACCCAGCTAATTTTTTATATTTTTTAGTAGAGATGGGATTTCACCGAGTTAGCTAGGATAGTCTCGATCTCCTGACTTCGTGATCCGCCCGCCTCGGCCTCCCAAAGTGCTGGGATTACAGGCGTGAGCCACCGCGCCCGGTCACAATATATCTTAGTGAAAGGGGTATCTATCTGCTCTGTTTCCACTTCCTCATCTTCTGTTCACTCTTCAAATCACCCTAATCAAGCTTTCCCCATCTTTCCACTAAGAGTGTTCTTGCCATCGAAAACAATGTCTTCTCATTGCTAAAGCTAACAGGTACTTTCCAAGTCTTACCTTAGTTAACTTCTCGGAAGTATTAAGCATTGTTTATTTCCCGTTTCTAGAAACATTCTCTTCTTTTCACTTTAGTAACAACTAATGCTTTTATTTTCCTCCTACTTTCTGTAAATTTTAAATTAGATTTCTTTATGGGCTCCCTTTTTTGGCCTGATCTTTATATATTGCAGTTTCTGAAGATTTCTCTTCTGGGCCTCACTCTATTCTCTTCACCATTGTCTCTCCAGTGTCTGATACAGTACTCTTGATATCAGGTACTCGATAAATAATACATACTCAATAAGTATATTCTCAAGGATTCAACTACAGTATCTATGCTGGCAATACCCAAATTTATATCTCCAGTCCAAACCAGTCTGTAAACTGCTTTCTGACTCCTTAAACTCAATATCCAAAATCCAACCATCACTTTTTTTCTACCAAAGATAATCTTTATTCCTGTGTTCTCTGTGTCTTTGAATATCATCACCCACCTATCCTCCCAATTCTAACTCAAACCAGATCCTTCAGTGGCACAGTCTCAGCTCACTGCAACCTCTGCCTTCCAGTTTCAAGTGATCCTCCTTCCTCAGCCTCCCAAGTAGCTGGGAGTACAGGCGTGCGCCATCACATCTGGCTAATTTTTGTATTTTTAGTAGAGATGGGGTTTTGCCATGTTGGCCAGGCTGGTCTCGAACTCCAAACATCAAGTGATCCGCCCGCCTTGGCCTCCCAAAATACTGGGATTACAGGCGCGAGCCACCGTGCCCAGCCCCAAATACTTCTTGAATATCTTTGCTTTTGTCTATCTCCACTGCTGACATCCTCTCTCAGGCCGCAATCATCTTTTGCTTGGTTTTTTGTAACCAACAAATCAGTCTCTTTGCTTTCAGTGTTGCCTGTTCCTATCTATTCCCCATGTACAAGCCAAGCTGACTTTTCTTAAACTCGAATCTGAGCATATCATTCCTTTTGAAAGCCTTCAAAGGCTTCCCAATGACTTCAGAATAAATAAAAAAAACTCTTTTTTTTTTTTTTTGAGACGGAGTTTTGCTCTTGTTGCCCAGGCTGGAGTGCAATGGTGCAATCTGGGCCGACTGCAACCTCTGCCTCCCAAGTTCAACAATTCTGCCTTAGCCTCCCAAGTAGCTGGGATTACAGGCACTCACCACCATGCCCAGCTAATTTTTTGTATTTTTAGTAGAGACAGGTTTTCACCATGTTGGCCAGGCTGTTCTCGAACTCCTGACCACAGGTGATCTGCCCGACTTGGCCTCCCAAAGTGCTGGGATTACGGGCGTGAACCACCACACCCAGCCAGGAAAAACTCTTTCATGTGGCCTGTAAGACCCTTCCTGACTTGAACCTTGCCAATCTCTTCAACATCACCTCTCCCCATTCTCCGTCGTAAGCTGTGTGATCCAACTTCACCAAAAAATATCTTTCTGTATCCTGCCATACTATTTTGCCTCACCAACTCCTACTTTCATTTTAGTTTTATTCATATGGAGATCGATTTTTGAGCACTTACTATGAGCCAAATTATAGCTTAAATGTCATTTTAATTTCAAGGCTAGTTTAGATGCCTCTCTTGATGTCCTTCCAGTGGTACCTACATAACTCTATCAGCACACAAGATGGTAATGGTCTGTGGGTCCCTGACTAGAGAGGGAGCCTGTCTTGTTCCATTTTCTATTCCTAAAGCCTTGCACATGACACACGGAAGGCCCTCAATGTCTGGTGAATAAATGAATGCGATGTTTGTTCCAAGAGCAAAAAAAGGGACGAAAGGAAAAGAAGTCAATCTTTGACAAATTTTAGTAAAGGTTTCTGAGAAGTTCCTTAAGTAAGAATACAGGAGTCTACAGCCGGGCGCAGTGGCTCAGGCCTATAATCCCAGCACTTCGGGAGGCTGAGGTGGGCAGATTACCTGAGGTCAGGAGTTCAAGACCAGCCTGGCCAAGATGGTGAAATCCTGGGCGTGGTGGCACATGCCTGTAATCCCAGCTACTCGGGAGGCTGAGGCAGGCGAATCGCTTGAACCTGAGAGGCGGAGGTTGTAGTGAGCTGAGATCGCACCACTGTACTCCAGCCTGGCCGACCAGAGAGACTCCGTCTCAAAAAAAAAAAAAAAAATATATATATATATATATATATGTGTGTGTGTGTGTGTGTATGAGTATACATTCTTCTTTCATATATATACTTGAACTATCTGCTGTAAATTTGCTGAGCAGAAAATTCTAGTCCACAGCTCTATAGTGCAGGCTGATGAATATTAATGGTGATCTCAAAAGCAACTCAGTTCTCATTCCTGGGGTGCTGAGCATTCTCAATAAGAATCCGAGGACAATGATTTAGCAGAGTATAACCATGACTCTCTTTGAGTCCTTGCATTGAACTGTTGCCAGGTTAATGTTCACAAGCTTGAGTTTCTACAGACACATGTGGTTCATTAAACTTGGTACAAAACCAGATATGTCAGCTGGGCGCGGTGGCTCACGCCTGTAATCCCAGCACTTTGGGAGGCTGAAACGGGCGGATCACGAGGTCAGGAGATCGAGACCATCCGGGCTAACATGGTGAAACCCCGTCTCTACTAAAAATACAAAAAATTAGCCGGGCGTGGTGGCAGGCACCTGTAGTCCCAGCTACTCAGGAGGCTGAGGCAGGAGAATGGCGTGAACCCCGGAGGCGGAGCTTGCAGTGAGCTGAGATCGTGCCACTGCACTCCAGCCTGGGGGACAGGGCGAGACTCCATCTCAAAAAAAAAAAAAAAAAAAAAACAAAAAAACAGATATGTCCTGTGTAGGTCATGCATCAGAGCTGGGGGACAGTTGTATAGCCTTAGTATCAATTGGAATAATAAAGTGAATGGTATTAACGTTCAACATTTTGGATGAATGTTTTTCATGATTGTAAGGTTAGTCAAAATGCCCTTAAATAGAGAGAGTCCATTTTAACAGCCTTTGTCTCTGTCCTTGAAACTCCTAAACTACTAAGTCCGGGGGGATCTTTGATGTTTTTTAAAGAATGGTTTGAAGACCATTTGCATCAGAACGATCTGGGGAGCTATAGTCAAAACTCAGATTTTCTAATCCCACTACAGATGTATGAAATAAGTATTGCTACTTGTAGAATTCTGGAATTTGTAATTTTTACAAGCATTTCAGGTCATTTCTAAATAGAGTAAAGTTGGAGAATCGGCTGGGTGCGATGGCCCACACTCATGATCCTAAAATTTTGGGAGGCTGAGGTAGACAGATCGCTTGAGCCCAGGAGTTGGAGACCAGACTGGGCAACATGGTGAAACCCCACCTCTGCAAAAAATATAAAAACTAGTCCCAGCTACTTGGGAGGCTGAGATGGGAGCATTGCTTGAACCCGGGACAAGGAGGTTGCAGTGAGCCAGTGAGCCATGATTCTGTCACTGAACTCCAGCCTGGGTGACAGAGCCAGACCCTGTCTCCAAAAAAAAAAAAAAAAAAAAAAAAAAGAAAAGAAAAAGAAAGATATTGAATGCTTTAAATATATATATATAAAGTTGGAGAATAATTCATGCAATCCAACTTCTTTGTTTTTCAGAAACATGAAATTACTTGTCTGGGCATTTTGAGAGTCAGTTTCAGCTACCCTGGCCCAGGGAGTTTTATATTACTGTACACTGATTTTCCAGAAGATTTAGTAATCAGAATGACAAATTTTGGTGATGGGCAAGAGGGGGGCTCTTTGTAAGGGAGCAGATCATTGGGGAGCAGGATGAGAGGAAACCATCTTATCAAGCTGTCCATAACTTGCAGTGAACATTGGGCATGTATCTCAGGCTTTTCACTGGCAATAATTACACTCGCTAAATTTTGAGTGCTATGCCAGGTGTTGGGCAGTGTGCCATTTGCCTTATCTGTGTTACCTATGTCAGGGCCAAGGGAAATCTTCCCTTTTGCCCCTGAAGTTTGGCTGAAAATCACTGACAAGAGACAGATGAATAGGAGAAAAGGCATACAAATGTATTTGATCATAGTTTTATGTGACATGGGAGCCTTCAGAACGAAGTTCCAAATATACAGGGGAACTTGTCTATGTTTATGCTTAGGTTTAACAAAATACGGACATCCATGTACAAATATTATGTACAAAAGGGGTGTAATCTAATGCTAATAGACTGTGTGGGGAAACCCAGTAAGGCTGTCTTTCTGGAGTCTTCTTGGCCTCTCTGTGCAGCCTTCCTTCCTGCTGGGAATGGGGCAGGATCCTCTCTGGAATAGGGGTCTTATGATCTACAGTCAGACAAGGTAGGTCAGATAATTTCTTTATGGACAGTTTTTACACAGAAAGGCAGGGGAAAGTGAGACTAATATTTTTAGATTTTATGGCTGGCTTTGGAGAAAAGAGGTTCTGGTTTCTGTGACCTTCTTTGGGGAAGAGGGATTCTGGTTTCTACCAATAGCCTCAGGGGAGAATGGGAGTGAGAGACAGGAGGGCAGAAGAAGGTCAGAGAGAAACTTTTACTTCTGAGGCTGCTTCTGAGGCCTTGATTTTGTGGTATTGTTTTCTGAGTCCCAAGATGTGCCTGAATTCTCAAAGCAACCCGGTATGTATTAATTACCTATCCCCATCACAGAGATGAGAAAACTGTGGCTCAGTAAGGTTAAGTAACTTGTTTGCAGCTAGGACCAGGACTCTTATCCTGGAAGTTTGATTCCAAAGCTCTACTTCTGGGTTTATATAGTAAAAGTAAAATAATATCGCTAGATAGGACAGTAGCCAGACTCATTCTAAAAATTAGTTCTAAAAATTGTATGATTCCACAAGTCTCTACCTAACCTGGTAAGAAGTGCAGGAGCCCAAAAGATTTACCAGATAAGACTATGGGATTCATTGGCCAATTGCAATCTTGACCTGTACTGTCAATTCTCAAAAGCTGTGTTGTTTGACCTTCTCCTTGACTGTGTGAGTGTAGACAAATCACTTCCTATTTAAGGGTCTCAATCTCCTCATGTGTAAAATTGGGGGAATCATACTGGAAGGCCCTTGGGTTTCCTTTAGGTTTGGCCATGCCTTTTTTTCTTATAAAGATCTTTCATTTTGTCAACTATAGTCACTGTTTATGACTCTACGTGAGAGGTGAGAAACATATCATTGAGCCACATATAATTATTACTATGGAATTACAAAGGGCTTTCAAAAATGTGTTAGTAAATGTGTGACATTGATGTTTTACATTAGCTCCTCAATAAACTGACAAAATCAACTGAAAAGTTGGAAAAGGAAGATGAAAATTACTACCAAAAAAACATGGCGGGTTATTCTACCAGACTGAAATGGGAAAACACACTAGAGAACTGCTACCAGGTAAGTTATATATTCACATTTTTTTCTTCTTCTGTGGAGCTTTGTGTGACCTTGAAGATGGAGGTCAGATTACAGTGACAAGACCTGCCCTCTGTCTTAGCTATGAGCATCACACATATTGTGACTTCAGACAAACCACATTTCCTCTCATTGTTTCAGTTTCTCCATGGATACAATTACCAGTGACAATTTATTGAATTTCACTGGCCAGAGTTTCTGCTCCTAATTCTTAGTGGACAGGATAGCACCCAGCTAACTTCAAAAAGTGCTGTCAAAGTGAAGCGTAAATTAAGGCTTAAGTGTTAGGTGCTTCAAAATTAGTTTTAGGCATGAGTGATGACTCATACAGTGATCGCTTATGGAGGTCAGGCATCGTGTTAGGCACTGGAGATACAGAGCATTGAATAAAGTAACATCTCAATGCTTGAGATGTGTACATCTCAGTGGCAAAAGTAGACACATAAAGAAGGAATTGTGGCAAATTATCTGATAATAATGGGCAAAATATGTCAGCAAGCACATCACAAAAGGAGAAATCAAAATCATCGATAAGCCTATGAAACAATGCTAGATTATTTGGCAAAAATTAGAACTTGACAATATCAAGTGTTGGTAAGGATGTTAGGAAACAAGAATTATTGTACCCCTGTAGGGGGAATAATTTAATGATATTTAGTGAAACTAAAATAAGCATGTACTTACTGCAGCAGTTCCCTTTTTAGGCATATATCCTACAGAAAAATGTACATTTGTACTCCAAGAGTGATGCACAAGAATGTTTATGGGAGAATTGTTTATAATTGCATGTGAGAAAAAACTGTACGCAATCTTCATATCCATCAAGAGAAGAATTACTCTTCAAATATGCTCGCATTTGGAAAGTGAACTAATATCCATCAATGAAAAGTTAATTAAAACTATATTTAAACATGAATTAACCTCGAAAAACATGATGTTGAGGAAAAGAAATATACCACTTACACAATCTGTGTAAATCAACATTCTTTTAAACTCATGCGCAAACTATACTGAGTTTATATGTGTGTGTTTGTAAACTTATACATGGGGACTGTCCCTGTGTTCAGTGACAGAAATGGAGCCCATGGTGGGAATACAACAGAACTGCCAGAAACAGCCACGCAGCTTATGCACGGCCCCTGGTGAAGCAGTACAACCCCAGGCTCTACATAAATATGACCAAATTAAATAACTATCAATTCTGGAGAGTAAGAACATGAATATTTTGGTTTTATTTTTCCCCACCTGTTTTAAGTTTAAAAAAAAAATGTTTAAAGCAGATACAATTGGAGAAAGCCATGATCTGATGGCCAGCCTGGAACAAGTACTTGGTGCTCAGTGCTCCTCTTTTAGGCTGTGCTAAGCACATTCATGTGTTTCTGTTTTGTATTAATCATGACATTATGAGAACATTGAGGCTGGAAAGATGAAGCAATGAGCCTGAGATGGTTTAAGATTCAGCCTGGGCGGCACGCCTGTAATCCCAGCACTTTGGGAGGCAGAGGCGGGCGGATCAAGAGGTCAGGAGATCGAGACCATCCTGGCTAACACGGCGAAACCCCGTCTCTACTAAAAATAGAAAAAATTAGCCGCGCGTGGTGGCGGGCGCCTGTTGTCCCAGCTACTCGGGAGGCTGAGGCAGGAGAATGGCGTGAACCCGGGAGGCAGAGCTTGCAGTGAGCCGAGATCATGCCACTGCACACTAGCCTAGGCGACAGAGCAAGACTCCGTCTCAAAAAGAAAAAAAAAAAAAGATTCAGCCTGGACCTCTGCATTATGCTCCTGCCCCATTGAAAACTGGGAGAGCAAAGGCTATATGGCAGGCGGAAACCCAACGGCTGCATTTACATCTCTTGCAATTCAACCACTCAGAGCAGGATAGATGCAGAATTAGAGAAGAAAGGGGAAATTAAAGGAGAGATGAAAACTTGGGTCAAAGAGGGGAACAAATGAGAAAAAATTCCTTAATTTACACCTTTGAACATAAGCTCCGGGTACTCTCTTGGTTTATGCTAGATAGATTTTAGATGAAGGTGATGAGAAAAGGTCAGGGATTTAAATTCTAACTTGATTCATTTGAAATCTGGCTCTGCAACCTGGGCTCTGATCTTGCCTCACCTCACCTCATCACTTCCTGATGAAGCCGTGGTCTTTCCACTGAGGTCAGCTTCCTTGGATGGCCCTGTTAGGAGATGGGAGAGACATTTCTGCTCCCACTCCATCTTCCAGGCACCCACCCTTCAAGGGCTATGAGAAAAATATTTCACCTCAGTGTCTCTATCCTCATCACCCTTCTACCTACATCGCAGCAATGGGAGATAAATGGGTCCTACCTGGTGTAGCTGATAACTAGCTTGCCTTCTTCAATATATGTTAGGGAAGGCTATGATTATCTTCATTATCAGAAGCTCTTGCTACGCCTCTCCTTCATCTCAGTTTCCTTTCCTCCTGTTAAGATCCTCTACATGTTTCCCCTACAACCACCACTCCCCCTTCTCAGCATTCCCAGTGTTTATGTTGAAGCATCATGGAAATTATCTCTTTTCTTACAGTCTTCCTGATGGTAACAAGGTATACATTCATTTACATTTCAAAAGGCATCTTTCAACTTCAGCTCTAAAAATATTTAAGACCTAGTTTTAGTTTTTTTCTTCCTTTTTTTTTTTTTTTTTGTTAGAATCCAAGTCACATGGAATATCTACTCATCATAATGTCCTTGAGGAAGAGCATTTTCTTTCTCCCCTCTTGTATCCTGGATTTTTGCTACCTCTATGCTGGAGGCCACCAGTGTTTCAGTCCGTGTCCTTTTTAGTTCATACAGCTTCTCCTACCCCACCTTCCTCTGAGTTCTCTCCTGCCTCCTGAGAGCCATCTCAAGCCCATTAGCCACAACGTGAGACGACTTCTGTCCAGTCACTCTTGCTTCACTTGAACCCTCAATAATGATGCCCTTAGTTGGTATTTCCTGGGCTTGTGTATACTCAGTCTATACCAGAAGGTCATTGACTCACATATTACTCTATGTATGCCATATTTTGTGTATGTTTATGGCACTCAAGTGTCAAATGTTAGATTCATGAAGACATATAACAAAAACAGCCTGAATTGACTCAAAGAGGAATTTTATTATAAGTGTGAGAGATGGAAATGGGACAGTTAGGGTCTCTCAGTTTCATTTTTTCTCCATTCTTTCACCATTCTTCTGTACAAATTGAATATAAAAATTCATTTTAGGGTCCTACGAAGTGTTCTCTTATTCCTTTTTACTCTACAGGTTGGATGTACAAATTCCTTCAGAGAACATGCATTGAACTACATTCAAGGCAGTGTAGTAGATACTGTGAGAAATATTGTAAAGCCTCAAATGTGACTATAAGTAATGAAACCAATTCCACAAACCACATGTCAAAATTAGTCTTATTACTTCACAATCATACTGTATTCTAGCCACATCCCACCCTCCAAGAAGAAACACTTCAGATGATAGAAATAACCTATATTTTTCACAATAATAACCATACTACCAAGAATTACAAAGAATCAAATGCTTGGTACTGAAGTACTTACTCAAGGAATTATTTTTAAAAGCCATCTGCAATATGTGTCAAGAGCCTTAAAAATATTCCCTTTCTCAACCAGTGTTCCTCCTCTAAATCCCAGAACACAGAAAATGATTCGAGTGGCTGCTTTCTCAGTTCTCCCAAGGATGGCACTTGAGTAGTCCCACTCTAGATGAGACGAATGACAACTCATTACATAAAATGGACGCCTCAGGACAGTAGGGCTTCATTCTTTCCTAGGACTCTGTTGAAAAAGGTAATTTCCTTTCTATAAAAGTGTCTTGAGGAAGTAGCTGACAAACCAGACACAGATTTCTATTTGAAACATGTTAAAGGCAGCAAACATCCCAAATGTCCAACATTAAAGGGATGACTAAGTGAATAAACACGCCTGCACCATGGATGCTTATGAAATAATTAAAGTGGTATTTTCAGAGACTAATGGCACGGGAAACTGTTCACATGTACGGTTAAGTGGAAAAAACAGAATTTCAAATTTGAATAATTTGATAGATAACTAGAAGATAAAATCATACATATACACATACCTAGACTGAAATATATCAATATGTTAATAGCAGTCACTTCTGGGTGGAAGAATTATGATTTTAAAATGTATTTTTTGTGGGCCTCTGTGGCCCTAGGACAATGTCTCAAAGCGCCTGGGGTGCTTAAAAGTCAGATTCCTGATCACCTCCCTAGACCTGGGAGCCTCTGAATCAATCAGAGCCTCTGAATGATTATAAAGAGGGGTCTAGATATTCTAAAGTTTGAGAGTCCCTGCTCTAGAAAGAGCATATTTCTTTTATCAGTTCTATGAGAGTCATTTAAATGAAAACAAAATCCCTTTGACTTCTTCCTGTAGTACCAGCCCAAAGGCTAGGACAGCAAGAACTGGAAGGAACGAATGAAGAACAAATTGTCATGATGCTTGGGCCCCAGACAGGCTCTAAATCTGCTGAAATCTGAATCTTTCTGGATAACTCCTTGACCACACTTTGTTCATATATACTATTGTGGAACCTCAAGAGGACAGTTTGAGGTCCTCCAGAGTATCTTGCTTCTCTACCACCTATTTTATATAAAAAGAACAAGATAATAAAAAGCAAAAAATCATTAGATATGGATCTCTCCTTTGCACAGTGGAATTTATTTCCTCCTCTTCTTATGAGCAAACATAGATCATTTTAATGATTTCCCTGAAATGTAATTAAAATCTGTTAAGCATTACCATGTCACTAAGGAACACTGGTTATTCTAGTCTCAGATTGATGCTAGTGGTTCAGCACTTGTCAAAGTAAAGAAACACCTGCCCACTAGGGATGCAATATGTTCTAAAACCTGGCTTTTATTTTCTCTTCTCTCTTGCTCATAGGCTAAAACAGAAGAGCTGATTTCTAGATCTTTTTCTATAGGGTAAGGACTTCTTCTTTTTGAAGATTGTCACATAGGAGATCCAAACAACTGAGCAGAATTTGTTTTACGTATTTGTTATGAGGCATATCGATTCTGCCTTTTAAGAAGCAAAACATTTGATAGGCTATTCTGTGTCTTTAATCCTTTATCTGGGAGACAGAAGGGCAGACGGCCACATTCAAATGACTGGTGCCTGCAATTTTGTGAAAGCCTCAGGGGACTGCCAGCGTAAACCAATCCATTTGACTCCCATTGACATATGAAAATTGGGCAGCTTCAGAGGCAACTAAGAAGATTGCCATGGGGGCGTGGCTCCAGGCTTCCAATCCAAATGTCAGGACACTTGATACAAAAGCTAAAGTTGCATGTGATTGGCACAGATGTTCATAGTTACTGCCTGAGCCTTTTACTACTTTCATTTGCAAGCAGTGTTCAAATGACTATATACCAAAAAACAAAATGTGGTATATGCATACCATGGAATATTATTCAGCCAAAAAGGAAGGGAATTCTGGCACATGCTACAACATGGATGAACCTTGCAGACATTATGCTAAGTGAAATAGCCAGATGCAAAAGAACAAGTAGTGTATGATTCCTCTTGTAAGAGGTATCAAGAGTAGTTAAATTTGTAGAGACAGAAAGTAGAATGGTGGTTGCCAGGGGATGCAGAGCGTAGGAAATGAGAAGTCGTTGTTTCATGGGTACGGTTTACTTTTGCAAGATGAAAAAAGTTTTAGAGATGAATTATGGTGGTGTTTGCATAATAATGTGAATGCACTTAATGACACTGAAATGGATGCCTAAGGTGGATAAAATGGCATGTCATATTATGTAAATTTTACCATAATTAAAAGTATAAAGAAATTTAAAATAATTTTAATCACCATATACCATAGATGAATTAACAACACAGGGATATAGAGGAATACCATACTGAATCAGGCCAATGGGCTCCTGTAGGAATTTCAAGAGGTGAGCAAGGAGAACCCAGTGATCTTTGTGACTCTCCATTCTCACCTCTCTTGCACTGCCAAGGGCCTTGAGACATACCCATCTTTCTTCTTCCCTATGGTCGTGTTACCCACCAACTTCTCCAAAGCCTTGTTCATGAAAGATGATTGCTGGTGCTCTTTGTGGGATGCAGGAGTTGGGATGGTGGGTATGAGAGCAACTGAGCTGGACTTCCCTGGATAAAAGGATGAATGCCCAGGCCTTGTATTTTTTCTTTCTTTCTTTCTCTTTCTTCTTTTCTTTTTTTTGAGATGGAATCTCACTCTTTTGCACAGGCTGGAGTGCAGTGGCATGATCTCAGCTCACTGCAACCACCACCTCCCAGGTCCAAGCGATTCTCCTGCCTCAGCCTCCTGAGTAGCTGGGACGACAGGCGCCCGCCACCAGGCCTGGCTAATTTTTGTATTTTTAGTAGAGACGGGGTTTTGCCACGTTGGGCAGGCTGGCCTTGAACTCCTGACCTCAGGTAGTTCACCCGTCTCGGCCTCCCAAAATGCTGGGATTATAGGCATGAGCCACCGCACCTAGCCAGGCCTTGTTTTTACAAAAAAAAAAAAAAAAAAAGATGGGAAGAATTTTGTCTTGGACACCTGCCATCTCCATCAAAGCCCAAAGTCCCCTGGGCACATACCCAGCAGCCTTACACTGCCCCCACATGGCCTTGGAGTCTCCCTGAATACTCTGCCTGAGCCAGCCTTCTCTAAGAATGCTTAGTTGCTAAAGCTTTCTGCCCCCTGTAAAACCACCAGTCAGCAACTCAGTTGGCATGGGTCCAATAAGTAACATTTTCTCATTTTTTTTTTTTTTTTGAGACAGTTTCACTTTTGTCACCCAGGCTGGAGTGCAGTAGCATGATCTCGGCTCACTGCAAACTTCACCTCCTGGGTTCAGGCAATTCTGCCTCAACCTCCTGAGTAGCTGGGATTACAGGCGTGTGCCACCATGCCTGGCTAATTTTTGTATTTTTAGTAGAGATAAGGTTTCACCATGTTGGCTGGGCTGGTCTCAAACTCCTGACCTCAGGTGATCCTCCCACCCTGGCCTCCCAACGTGCTGGGATTATAGGCATGAGCCACTGTGCCCGGCCTCTAAAATGTTAATAGCTAACAAAGCAAATGTGATTCCCCTCACTTTCTTATTTACCCTTCCTACCTAAAAGTCATAAGTCTAATAATGAAACTTCTGTCATCTCACACAAAATAAAGAGGCTATGTGTCTACCTGCAAACAGCGGACTCTGACTCCCAGGCCTAATTTTAGGCAGAATTATAAATTGGTCAGACTTTGGGATTCTTCTCTTGTCAAATAACCTCCTTAAACAGAGAATTTGTGGCCTGTCATTCTCTTCCCTGCAGACTAGCAGAACGCCTTGAATGTACTATAAACAATTCTAAAACTATTGGGTGTCTCAATGCATTTCCAAGACATGGATATGGGCTTTCCTGGGCTTCACCCTCTGGAATTCTTCCCAATTTTTTTTTTTTTTTTTTTGTAAAAACAAGGCCTGGCTAGGCGCGGTGGCTCATGCCTGTAATCCTAGCACTTTGGGAGGCCAAGACAGGTGGACCATCTGAGGTCAGGAGTTCAAGGCCAGCCTGCCCAACATGGTGAAACCCCATCTCTACTGAAATTCTCTGGAATTCTCTGGAATCCATGATTGTGTCTCAAATGCTTCCTTTTCTTCTTTTCTCCCCCTTCCTCATAAACTTAGGTAACCCACAGCATCTGCCTATATGCCTTTTGGGTCAAAAGAGCCTGGGGAAAGTGTGTGAGTGATTTAAGATACCAAGACATATTCCTTCCTGGAAATCTCCCTCCACTATGGTTTGGATATGACATAGTCAAGAGGCTAATCATGAGACTTTGTTCAGTCTGTCTTCAGGTGTGTCAGTGTTTGATGAGTGACTTCCATTTTGCGTAACAACTGGCTGATCTTACCCCAATTTTCATTCTTTTCAGAGCATTCTGGAGCTGGAGAAGGAAAGAATTCAACTTTTATGCAATAACTTAAACCAGTACAGCCAACATATTTCTCTTTTTGGCCAAACCCTGACCACAGTGAGTAGAGATGATCTCTCCATTTCTGGTATGCCTGGTAAGAAGGGGCAGAAACCTTTCTTCGACAACCTTATTCTGTTCCCCTTGGCATTGCAGTGCCACACGCAGATTCACTGTGCCATCAGCAAGATTGACATTGAAAAAGATATCCAGGCTGTAATGGAAGAAACTGCAATTTTATCTACAGAAAACAAATCTGAGTTCCTGTTAACGGATTACTTTGTGAGTATGAAATGGAAAAAAAAAGTTACATTAATGGAGAATCTTAGGTACTGAGGGACTTACATTGAAAAAATTGAAAGCAAATATCATGTTTTATCAATGAAAATGATTTCTCATACCCCATATAAATTTAAAAAACCCAGCATTCTAGTTTACAAACTGTACAATGGAAACATGTCTTTGGTATTTTCTAGAAGTAAAGAAAGTCAAGCAGGGTTTTAAACAGAATCTTCATATTCGGTCTTCTATAAAAGTAGTGCCAGGCAGACATGTTTCAATGACCTATAATTAATCACTGTATATCACGTGGTGCTTAAATTGGTTGTCTGCACAAATTGCTGTGCAACAAATTACCGCTCCCCACCCCCACCAAAATAATGGCTTAAAACAAACATGTATTATCTCATAGTTTATGTGGGTCAGGAATTCAGTTGTGTCTTAGCCAGGTGTCTCTGAACCCCTCCCAAGGCTGCAATCAAGGTATCAGGTTGGGCTGCAGACATCTCCAGGCTCTTCCTCCAGAAGACTCACTTCCAAGCTGACTCACAGGGCTGTTGGCAGGCCTCCAGTCCTCGCTGCTGTTGGTTGGAGATATCATTTTCTTGCCATGTGGGTCTCTCCATGTCTCAGCCTACTCCCCGCAAAATGAGTGATCAAGACAGACAGAGCCAGAGTGCCCAAGAAATTATAATCTCTTGTAAGCTAATCTCAGAAGTGACATCTCATCATATTCTATTTGCTAGAAGCAAGTCAGTAAGTGCAGCCCATACTCAAAGGTGGGTGTGAGGGAAGATCACCCAAAGGCATGGGTTCTAGGAAGTGGGAGTCACTATCAGTATTTTTCATGGTCCCTTCTCTTGAAAACCTTGGACCAGATTATCGGAGGCTTATTTTGAGGGTACTTGAGTGATTCTACTGTGGGTGTTTTTGCTGAAAACTGGTCAGTGTCCCTGGTGAGAGCCCAAGCACGTTGCCCCTTTGCTATATTGGGGCAAATTATTTGTCCTTCTGGGTCAAGCCTCAAAGATTTTGGCCTCTGCTCCCCTCTTGATATTCTTAATTGTAGTGTTCTAGGAACTGATTATTAATTACCAAAACCTGCAGAAAGAATTCTGATAGCGTTTCCCTGGGTCCTCTGCCATATTTTATTCAGGATTTCAAGCTCCAGATTAGGGGTGTCACTCTTCTCTGATATGGAGAACAAGCCCACTGGTCATGTCCTCCATAGGATTAGAAGTACAGCCAAAGCTGACCTCCCTGGACCTCTGATCAGGCAACAAGAGGGTAGAAGGCAGAGGTGGTTAGATCAGGCACTGCAGTAAACCCTGATTGGCTTTCCCTTTCCCCACCCTTCAGACAGCAGCAAATGACCAGCTATTTTTTACTGAGTCTTTTTTTTCCTACCTTGGCAAAGGAGAAGTATATTAGCAATATCAATGTCTGTTCAATGCAGAAACAAGGTAGAAATGGAAGTGGAAATGATTTGATTACATGGGGAAAGCGCTTTTTTTCTTTCAAATAATGTAGGCAGGGCCTGAGATGGAAAAATGTACAATAAAATAAATCTATTTTCTTACAAAGAATAATAAAAATGCCCCTATCAAATAACTTGTCAATAAAATGAGGATTATTCTTGAAAATTTGACTAGGGTTCTACCAAAGTGTAAGGAGGCAGCCATGATGACTTCTCATTTATTGGCATGTTCAGGGAAATTTTTGGTTTCTATAAAACTTCACTGTGTCAGAACTCACAACCATGAATCTGTTGTCTAAGAGAAAGGACTGTGTCTCAAAATGAGTGAATAGTATTTTCTTGACATCTTTAAGGCAAAGCACCCCAATATCTGACTTTATAGTCATTGTCAATAAGTGTAGGCTGGTTTTTATCCAGTGTTATGAAATTTACATGGACCAGGGACAACAAAGAGACCAATCTGAGTGCAAAACTTGGAGGGCTTGGTGACCTGGTGAAAATATTTGTAAGGTTACCATAAATGCCATGTTCAAAAGATTGTTATCTGTAATTTTATACGCCTCCTCCAGTACTGACCTTCTTTCTAACAAATCTTTAGAAGAGAAGGACAAATGTTAAGAGTTAAATGATGGCAATATACCCCATCCTGAAATTGACCCAGGAGCAATCTATCCCTGGAAATACATGTTTAAACAATAGATGTCCCCAGACAAACCAAGGGAAGCCTTGGACTGGTATGGGAGCTATGTTATGACTTGCATTCCTTCAACAGGGAAGGACTAATGGTTTTAGTTAGGTGTCTTAGCAGTTTAGTCAGAGTTTACTTGGGGGTGTGATGTCAGCTTGCGCCTCAGCTGTGGGATGACATGTGAAGGAGTGGTAGAGCATTTGGGGTCAACTTGGGCCTTCTTTTATCTGTGTCACAGGTAAAATGAGGAAAATAAAACCAACCATTGAGTTGTAGGAGTTGCATGTAATAAATAATATAAAGAAATATTTATTTATTTGAGACGGAGTCTCGCTCTGTGGCCCAGGCTGGAGTGTAGTGGCACAATGTCAGCTCACTGCAACCTCTGCCTCCCGGGTCCAAGTGATTCTCCTGCCCCAGCCTCCCAAGTAGCTGTGATTACAGGTGCACACCACCACGCCCGGCTAATTTTTTGTATTTTTAGTAGACAGAGGGTTTCACCATGTTGGCCAGGCTGGTCTCGAACTCCTGACCTCAAGTGATCCACCCACCTTGGCCTCCCAAAGTGCTGGGATTACAGGTGGGAACCACCACACCTGGCCCAGAATATAAAGACACTTTTGTAATGTGCAATGAAAAATATGTAAATAAAATATTTTTATCTGTATATGTTTTTATAGAGGCTATTCCCTTTGCTCTAAATCCTCACACTTCTTGTTTGTGAAGCTCCATCTAAAGGTAATCTCTCAGCCGGGATCCTAATTTTTCTCCTTCCTTATCAGCGAAGCCTGCATCCTCCCCTCCCACCTTGAGTCATTAGTTTCCCGTCTTTCTCCATGGGTTTCTGTCCCTCTGCCACTCATGTTTAGCAACCTCCTCACTCCAACTCTACCATCCTATTCTTTTTTATTCAATCCTTGAAATAATGCATGTGAAAGCTCAGATATCATGAATGATTCCTCATAGCCTATGTGATAAAATTCCTACATCAGCCCTAAAATCTAGCCTCAACTCCCTGAACAATTTTTTCTTCCCCTATTTTTTTGCTCATGCAACAGGTGTCTTTATTGTTCCTGACACATTTCCCACAGTCCTCCCCCAGCCCTTTGCTCCCGCCATTTTTCCTGCCTGGAGTGCCCTTTGCCATCTTTCCTTGACTAGACAGTTACGTCTTCTTGCCTCCTCGAAGCTGTCAGCTGCCTGCACTCGTGGTGTCTGTAGCATTCGCGAATGCATGTGGTCTTGTATTGCTAGTTTCTTTAATGTTATGCTTCAAGGCCTAACTAAATCATAAACCCATTCTGGAAAGAGCATATGTGTTTTAGCTCACATCTTCCCAGTACTGAGCCAACACAGAACTCAGTCAAAATGTCTTCCACTCCTGAGGCAGTCATAGCCTGAAACACATACATGATATTACATTTGGGCCATTAAAGGACTCTAACTTGAACAAAAGTAAATAAGGAAGCAGTAAGTATACAACAAATAGATTTATCAAGAAAATGAAATAGCTATAGCAAGGGTCCATCCTCAAAGAACAATCTGCTCTATTAAAAAGTGCTCGGCCATGTGACTTAAAAGTTGTGAACAAGACAATATTTTCTTATTCATCAGGTCTCGAACAGGTAGAACAATGTGTGTAAAACTAAAGATTATCCTGCTTAAAAATTTTGTTTTATTTTATAAAGTTAAAATTAAATGCAGCCAGTGGAAGTATCAGAATGGACAGGGAATAGCAACTCTTACTTCTTCCCCCTTGTTAGACATCCTTCTTTTTTCCTAAAGGAAGAAGATCCTAACAGTGCAATGGATAAAGAGAGACGAAAGTCTTTACTAAAACCAAAATTATTGAGACTGCAGAGAGACATTGAAAAAGCCTCAAAAGACAAGGAAGGTGTGTAACCATCTCTTTGAATGGCCAGAAAAGGGACCATATGATGCTCAGAGGTTTCATTCAGAGTTAGGATTGATCTGCTTTTGCTATTTGGCAGGGGTCTTCTCATTTAAAGAACCATATATCAAACTTCAGTTGTGTGAACAAAAAAAAAAAAAAGTAGAAGAAAAAAGAAAGCCAAAAAAAAAAAAAAAAAGGAAAATCACATTTTGGTCTATTTATGAAACCTATATAAGTATTATACTACTATTTTCAGAAATGTAGCATTTTAACTGTGTTTCTGAAATTGGCTAGAATGAGAGATAATGTGTTTGGTTTAAAACATGGTCAACCAACTGTGCATGAGAGTTTTGGATGAGTTTTTTGGTTTGTTTCTTTTGACTTTTGAAACAATGTAAAAACCTTTCAAATTAAATTCTGTACGTAGAAGTTAGGCATGTCAGACTGTGAAGCAGCTCTAAAGCAACAAGGATGACAAAAACGACTCCACATTTGTGACTCTGATGTCTACCTAGTAACTTGTTTTATATGGACCACGATAACTCATTGCAATGGAATACTAGAGAGCAAATTCAAGATAGAAAACATTTAGTGATGTGAATACCATAACGAGGAAGAAGCCAACGTTGGGTAACTGTTAGCAATTGCTAGAATGGGTCGACTGAAAGAATTTCAAAATCTCATCTGGAAAAATAACAATCAAGATGCTTTAAGCACCAGCACTTCTCAAATTTCATTAAGTGAAGAGAAAGGTAAACAGTTCATTTATCATTCAGTCAAATTTATTAAGAACTACCTGCAGAGACTCCCTCAGCCATTTAAGAAACCCTACTGGTGGCTGGGTGCTGTGGCTCACGCCTATAATCCTAACACTTTGGGAAGCCAAGGCGGGTGGATCACAAGGTCAGGCGCTGGAGACCAGTTTGGCCAACATGATGAAACTGTGTCTCTACTAAAAATACGAAAATTAGCCGGACATGGTGGCATACACCTGTAATCCCAGCTACTCAAGAGGCTGAGGGAGGAGAATTGTTTGAACTTGGGAGGCAGAGGTTGCAGTGAGCCGAGATCGCGCCACTGCACTCCAGCCTGGGTGACAGAGCAAGACTCCGTCTTAAAAAAAAAAAATCTCACTGGTATCACTTCTAGGCTCCCTTTGAGAGCGACCGACTCCTGGCTGTGTCCCACTGAGACAGTGTGAAAGGTGACTGAGAACATGATTTCATTTTCAGGCCTGGAACGAATGCTTAAAACGTACTCCAGCACCTCCTCCTTCTCTGATGCAAAGAGCCAGAAAGACACAGCAGCGTTAATGGATGAGGTAAATGTTTGCCGAGTGCATTTCCTAGATGTAGTGATGAAAAGGGTTATTTTTAGAATACTTGTTTCTGGTCCACTTGGCCTTGTTTGCCTTTCCTTTCTCATGACATAGAACAATCTAGTGGGGGAGCTTATAGGGTCAGCTTCATAAGTCATTTGAGGGATCTGGAAAAATACAACTACCTAGAAATGTTTGCTTTGGTGTCCTAGGAAAAGAATTGTGTCTAAAATAGTATTCTCCAAACAGAGTCGTTCTTTAAGGGCCTAGAAACCATGTGCACTTTAACCCAGTTAAGAAAAGCGACAGGAAACAAAGGATCTGCATTCAGAAAGGCCTGTATTTAGATTTAGCTCTGCTGTTTACAGGGACCTGGGTCAACTTTAGTTTTCTCATCCGCAAAATGGGGATATTGGTACTTTACCTCATGGGGCTTTTGTGAGGGTGAAATATTATTTAGTAAATACCAGCACAATGCTCACAGGAGGAGCTCAAAAACTAGTAATTTTTATTAAGGTGGTATTTTCCATTCATCCCTCTGCTGATCTCAGGGTTATCGGAGAATAACAGGGGAAAGGAAAGACGTGGTTGCAGAGGGAATAGGGCAGTCTGGTGTGTGAGGCAAAATCTGGGGAAACCAGGAGCAACTTTGAGGGCAAAGTTCTTTAAGGGTGGGAATTGGGGTGGGGAGATGGTAGAAGAGGCAGGGAGGTGGGCCTCCTGGCCTTTGTGCTGAGTGTGTGAACTCTAGCCCCATAGACATTCGTGGGGATTGATGGACATTTTGGCCACTTCAGAGGAAGGGAAAGGGATAGTTAACAAAAAGCTGATGAATTTTACACAGGAATAAAAATGAACAGATATATAGCACCAGTGTGCAACATATGGGTTTCTGCTGTGATTAGAGATCATGAGTGGACTGGGGTTAATCTGAGAATCATTTAAGGAGATAAATTTTTTAGCAATGTTTTGAAGGTACAGGAATCTGGGCGTTTTGTTTTTCTTGCTTATAGCCTAACTTTCTTGTGAAGGTAGGTACTTGATAATTGTACCCAGATTGGCAACTTCAATAGTTCTTTGGTGAAAGAAGACAGATGCAGTGAGGTATCGCTGACCTAGTTTTTAGATAGGCTTTCTTGAGTAAGGTGCTGTTGCAGAAACAAGCCTAACACTTCTTGTAAAAGAAAATAGCCTGCATTGTGTGCACTGGGTAACAGAGGTCTAACATACCTGCAATGACCCGTGGCTACAGTTTTTATGAAATTATAAAACAGACTGTAGGACATTTTCTGTGACCGCACAAGCTGTTTAGTTAACTACTGATGCCATTGGGTTATACATCTATTCCTTTGGCTGTCCTTGCACAGAATTTTGTCATTGTCATTACCAGCATACATGTATTAGGATCATCTGGGTCCTCTCACCTGAAGCACACAGTGGAGGACACAAGGAGGGAGAGCATCTGACCTTGGAACTTCCAATGTTTATGATCTGGTGAAGGAGCAACTATGAACCTTTAAGTGAGGAATGCCAAATATCCACATGATTTCATTACGCATGCTCTGCATCTGGGTAGACAGAAACTAGTGATACTGGTAGATTTTGTGCCACCCACGGAAGGTTTCTAGGATGAGGAAACTTTTATTTACATTCTTCCTTATTTCATTATATCTTGGTCCTTGAAGTGCCATGTTTGAATCAAGAATGTTCACAAGCAGTGTCATAAGAAAAATTGTTGAGAAAACTGGAGGCACTTAGATTAAATACTGTCTTTAGAGACCAGAAAGAGGGCCACATAGAAGAAGAACTAGATGTGCTCTATGAGACTATCAAGTGAAGGTCTAATGGTAGAAAGCATGGGGGAGCTTTTAGTTTTGTCTTAGGTAAGCCTGCCCCACAATGCAGTGGATTCCTCCAACGATTAGAGACTTTCTCCATCAATTGGATGTCTTCTGTCCATGGCTGTGACACCCTGGCAGGGATATTAGGGTTGGGAATTCCCATGCTGGAGGTGTGGGGGAGAGAGGGATAATGGTGAGGAGGGGGCTGGATAAGCAAGACCCTTCCAATGCTTAGATTCTGTTATTTAATTCACCCTGGCTGGACCCAGCCTGACAAGGTAATTATAAAGTTTCTAGTTCAAGGTCATATCAAGAACAGACAGAGACTAGGAGTGTATCTTTAGCTTGACTTATTATGTTTATACTCAAATGCCCTAAAATATTGTTCCCAGTTTCCAGAAGTATTCCTGTAAACTTTGTGGGTAATATAAGACCTCACCTTATCAAAGAACAAACAAACCTCACATTCAATTTCATTTGCGTCTATTGATGTTAATTCAATTCTGTTCACAATATTTAGCACTGATGGCTCACCTTCTTCGCAGACCACCAAAAATCTGCCTTCTACAATCAACACTTATCCCCTTTCTTGTCCCTCAGCAGAAAATTGAGTAAAACCTCTTCATTGCCATAAAATACTAATATATTACCAAGGTTTCCTGTTCACCCCCAGAGTACAGAATGAGACACACTCAACAACTAAAACCTCCCTCTAAACTGCTTAAAGAGTTTATTCCTCCATTTTTTTTTCCTTCGGCATTTTCTGTGAATATCTGTATGAGTTAAATGCGTACTTTTCTAACCTTTGTTATTTTGAAAGTTATTCTGATATTCCTATCCAGTTGTGCCTCATTTACTAGAAATTTGCTCACATGGCCAAATGATGTATCCACAGAACAATTTGAAACTAGACCTTTTGGAAGCGAACTCCTACAAACTGTCATCAATGTTAGCAGAACTTGAGCAAAGACCTCAACCCAGCCATCCTTGTAGTAATTCCATCTTCAGGTGGAGGGAAAAGGTAACATTTAAGGAGACTGGTTGTAATTTCTTGATTGGGCCTGCTGGGTGGAGTGGCTTAAAGTAGCATCAGGGCAAAAAAGGTGTTAGGAATTCTATGTGATATTAATATTCATGCAGTTAGTTAAGAAGATAAATGTTTTTATTTTTCTTTTGAGCACAATAACAAGAGCTAGACAAAACCGAATACATTCTGTGTACACCAAACTTCTATGAGAAGCTAAAAAACACTTTTGATTTCTTCTTTCTCATCATACCTGAATTTCATCCTTTGGATGTGCTTTTACAGTAAAATTTCTATTAAATTGAAATTTTAATATTCGTTCAGACCTAAATTATAAGATTTTGTGGTATGTATTAGTCTCATCTGTTTAAGATGGTGCCTAATGCAGATAATGCATCAGTACAGCTCTGAAATGCTTGTAGCTATTTTTATTACTGATCAGAAGGGGGAACTGTAATCATCTTGTGAAGGGACAGTTTTCTAAGGCTCAAGAGCTCGAAAACAATCTCAATCATTTACAGGGTTGTGATCATTTCACTTGCATTAAGCCAACTAAAGTTGTATTTGTAAAAGTAATGCTATGAATATTACTATTTGACCTAGACACATAGGTTAGAATTGGAAACACAGGCTATAAAGTATAGTAATTGTGTAATTGTGAAAATATTAAGGCTTCAACTCAAAACTGAAACACAGTAGGGCTTAGAAATCTTTGAATTATTTATACCCCTCAGTTTAAAAACTTCCAGTCCAGGCGCAGTGGCTCATGCCTGTAATCCCAGAACTTTGGGAGGCCAAGGCAGGCGGATCACCTGAGGTCAGGAGTTCGAGAGCAGCCTGGCTGACACGGTGAAACCCCGTCTCTACTAAGAATACAAAAATTAGCCAGGCATGGTGGTGGGCACCTGTAATCCCAGCTACGGGGGAGGCTGAGGCAGGAGAATCACTTGAACCCGGGAGGTGGAGGTTGTAGTGGGCCAAGATCATGCCACTGCACTCCAGCCTGGGTGACAGGGCAAGACTCTGTCTAAAAAAAAAAAAAGAAAAAACAAACAGAAAAAACAACTTGAGGAAAACAGCTACAGAAGAGTTAATTTTCATGAATGTTTATGATAATCGTGTTACAAAATATGACTTTTTATGTCATTTGAACAGGAGCATACTCATAGCTATGTGAAAATATCTCGGCCTTTTTTAATGAAGAGATTAGAGAATATTGTGAGCAAGGCATCTTCTGGTGGGCAGAGCAATCCAGGTTCTTCAACTCCAGGTAATCCCATGCCCACAATCATTTTGGCCTGGGTCCTACTGGCAGGGCACATTGCTACATTTAAATTTTAGTTTCAGAGCCACTTTGACCTGTATCTGTTTAAGGAAATTTATATTTCCATCGGGACCGATTAATTTGTTAGACTCTGTAGCTTTATGTAAAAATGGGAAAAAGTTAAGAAGAGTAGAGGGTTGGGAAAGTATCTTATGAGAAGTTGCCTCAGATATCAGATGACTGGCATCCACCTTATTCAAATGGCCTGTTATTTGCCATAAACATAATCACACCTAAACCATCGTGAGGAGCTTTGTCGCTCTGTCTCCATAGCCTCCTCCAAACTCCCATAAGAAGCCTGTCCTCTCTGCGAGACACATGGTGATCCAGGTGGTTTGCCAGGGCTTGGACTCATGGCCTACAAACTCCTGTTAGCAGCCATCTGACTTCAGTCATTCATGCACCCACACACCACACTGCTCTTCATCTTTCAGCACACACACACGTGTCACTGTACCTGCATGTTCAAGTATAATTACCATAATCTTGACTATCTAGTTTTTTAAATTAGAAATTGGTTTAAAAAAAAAAAAAAGAACTTCAGTAAAACCAGGACATTATGGTTCACACAATATATTAAGGAGTCACTGTTGCATTGTTTGAGAAACAGTTCCATACACAGCTAGGGATGATGATAACATGCACATGCCCCAAATATCCCGTATTTATACCTGAATGGCAAAACTGGTGAATGTTTTCCAAAACATGCATGCAATTACTATTATTATACAATGATGTTTTTCTCTAGACTTGCTATTTCATGTATTATAATATAGTTTTTGGTTATATAACATATGCAGTCCATACATATAGAAAGTGCATCATAAGTGGTTATTGAATCAAGGAATGAACATTATATAAAATTACAAACTTTCCTTTTGAGAAAAATTTAATATATTGAAACTCTGCATCACACTGTTAAATAACCAAAGAGCTTCAGCTCATATTCATTTGCCTGCTAACACAGCATACTAATTACAGCTTTATCTATTTCAGCCCCTGGTGCAGCCCAGCTCAGCAGCAGACTTTGCAAGGCCTTGTATTCTTTTCAAGCCAGGCAAGATGATGAGTTGAATTTGGAAAAGGGTAAGAATCATTCTCAAATATTTTAATTGCCTTCCCATATTGAGATTCTTAGCATGAATAAAACCCTGTCTTAGTGTGGCAGCCTTAAGAGTTACTACCATGTCAAATCAGTTCACCCTTCTTGAAAGATAAGCACATCTAAAACAAAAGCTCGCATAATGATAATAGCTAACGCTTATTCTGTTTACTGTGTGTCAGACATTGTTGCAGGCCTATTGTCCAATTTAATATTCATGAAACCCTTGGAGGGTTTTATTGGTATTCCCATTTCATAGCAGAGGAGACTGATACACAGGAAGGTTAGGTGCTTTGGCTAATGTCACAGGCTGTGGCAACACAAGACTTGAACTTGGAAACACAGTCATGCTCCTAATCACAGTGCACACTAGGGTAGAATGTCAGTGATGGAAAGTGATTAGAGGTGTACCCCACCTTTTTATTTTTTAGAAGCTAGACATTCAGGAATGTGAAGTGACCTCCTCTCTCAACTTAGTGTAAGTAAGTGCAAATTCTAGAACCTAGGTCAGCTGACTCCCAGCTTAGTGCTGGTCTCACTTACTTCTCAGAAAAGCTTTTTACAGCCAGTCTAAAGAGTGAGATCCCCTTCTTTGTGTCACAGAGTTTTACTTAACATGGAAAGGTATTACGTAGTGGCTTTATAATGTAAACCACAACATTATTAAAGAAGAAAGTCTCCAGCCTCAACCTTCTTTATTTCTTTATGTGTCCAGTTAGAAACCATGTTTGAATGTTAGCGCTAATGCAGAGATCTGGAAACGGAAGGGTTAGTGAGAAAGAGTAACGTTATGGGAGAAAGAATATTATCCACGACAAGGACATGGCTCCCAGAGCCAATGGAAAATCAAGATACATTTTGTAGCCAAACGACAGGGACACCACACATTTGCTATTTATTGGGTGTTTCCTTTGCAGCATTTGCCAGTCATATCTCTCCAGGCAATTACTTTTCTTCCTATGTGAATAAAAGACATACTTCCCAGATGCCACCTAGAACCCATGGATGCAGCATTTAAGTTACATCATTCACAATAAATTGATTATCTTGTTTTCAGTTCTCTGTTGGTTGCAAAGCCTACTTATACTTTATATTCTAAGCAGTTTCTTTAAATGAAACACGACGTTGGAGGCTTAGGGAAGCTGGCAATACAATTTGAAATCATTATTTGTTTGAATTCTTGTTAATAGATTATGTCAATTTACTGACGAGGGAGAACTTAGAGACCGAGAATGATGTCCTTTAAGAATAGTGATTTATGACTAAGAAAATGTAGAAAAGATAGAAAAGGAGTTAATAATCTCCTTTGTCTTAGAAAGAAAGTTGCTGAGGAAAAGAGTGAAAGGAAGACTGAAAAATCACCTCAGAATGATGCCAAAGAAAAAGTAGCTCTTGGATCCTGACGGGGGCAGATGATCCTGAAGGGGGCAGATCTTTCTACTTTTATGACAAGAGCCATGTTTCTTGTCCAATTCTCTATGGAATTCTCTTTATTTGAATCATTGCTTTAAAAAATATTGTCTCCAAATTGATGTTGTATTAAAGTTGTCTAAGTTGTTGAATGGGGAGTTACATTTTGAATGGGGAGTTACATTTCTGTGCAAAGCTGTGAGTTAAACTTTTGGCCTGTGAAATCAGGTATAATGCAGAGACATTGTCTTGATCTTAAGAAAAGACTGTTGGTGAGACATACTTATAGCAGCCAACACGCCAAACAATCAAAAACACCAGCATGTGAAACCCTCAAAGTACAGACACCAAGAAAGAGTTTGGTGACAATCCATCAGCTACATAGAAATAGAAAGTGAGCCAGGCAGCATAAGGATATATGATCCAACGTGATCTTTTTTTATTTTTTTTTTTGAGGCAGAGTCTTGCTCTGTCACCCAGGCTGCAGTACAGTGGTGTGATCTTAGCTCACTGCAACCTCCGTCTCCTGGATTCAAGTGATTCTCCTGCCTCAGTCTCCCAAGCTCACTGCAACCTCCGTCTCCTGGATTCAAGTGATTCTCCTGCCTCAGTCTCCCAAATAGCTGGGACTACAGGCGTGTGCCACCATGCCTGGCTAATTTTTGTATTTTTAGTAGAGACGGGGTTTCACCATGTTGGCCAGGCTGGTCTCAACCTCTTGACCTCAAGTAATCTGCCTAATCTGCCCATCGCGGCCTCCCAACGTGCTGGGATTACAGCTGTCAGCCACCGTGCCTGGCTGTGATCCTGTTTTTTTTTTCTGAGACAGAGTCTTGCCCTGTTGCTGTTGCCCAGGCTAGAGTGCAGTGGCATGATCTCAGCTCACTGCAACCTCTGCCTCCCGGGTTCAAGGATTCTCCTGCCTCAGCCTCCTGAGTAGCTGGTATTACAGGCGTGCGCCACCACACCCAGCTAATTTTTGTATTTTTAGCAGAGAAGGGGTTTCACCATGTTGGTCAGGCTGGTCTCGAACTCCTGACCTTGTGATCCACACACCTTGGCCTCCCAAAGTGCTGGGATTACAGGCGTCACCCACCACGCCCAGCCAATCCTGTCTTTAAGCAATTATTTTATGATATATCTCAGTTGTTCATTATCTTACTCTTTTTAGTATCCTCTGGATTATGCCTGCTTTATACACAGGTGTTCGATACATTTGGCTTCATCTGAATCAAGTGCAGAAAATGACACTACCAAGTAAATCCTTGAAGCAGAACCTCCTTAAAACTCTTATCAATCGGGCTGAGGCATGTGTTCACATCACAGAGACCCATTTGTCTAACTGTATTTTCACAGGTGACATTGTGATTATACACGAGAAAAAAGAAGAAGGATGGTGGTTTGGATCTTTGAATGGGAAAAAAGGCCATTTTCCTGCCGCTTATGTGGAGGAGTTACCTTCAAATGCTGGCAACACAGCTACAAAGGCATAAAACAAGACTCTGAACATACTACCTTCACACTCGGTAATCAACAATACAGTGTGGTTCAAATAAGAATAAAGTGCTCTTACCTTTACATGTTTTTCTTTTGAAATGGATGGAGTTCTACCTGCATGTCACAGCACTTTGCATTCATGATTATTAGCTTGAAACAGTCAGAAAAAAGATGGATGGGTGGAGACAGACAAGGAAGAGGCTCCTTGGTTCCTAGAGGAGTTTCCAAATTCTAGGAGACCCTAGAGATGATCCAGTATAACCCCTGGTGTCACAGAAACAGACGGAGTCCAAGGTGGGTTCAGCTGCTTGCCTGAAGTCAGAGTTATCTGGTAGACAACAGCAGTGGGACTTAGATGTCTTTTTCCTCTGGATTTGGGTGGCAACAGAACACAGCAGGCCTATGAGGGGGTCAAGCAGAGCCTGGGAGATGAGGAACACAGATCAATTCCAAGAAGAGAGACAGGCAATCAAGACACCAATGAGATCAACCCAAATTAGGGGATGGTAGGATATCTCTGACAAACCCACAGCCAATATCATACTGAATGGACAAAAACTGGAAGCATTCCCTTTGAAAACTGGCACAAGACAGGAATGTCCTCTCACCACTCCTATTCAACATAGTGTTAGAAGTTCTGGCCAGGGCAATCAGGCAGGAGAAGGAAATAAAGGGCATTCAATTAGGAAAAGAGGAAGTCAAATTGTCCCTGTTTGCAGATGACATGATTGTATATCTAGAAAACCCCACTGTCTCAGCCCAAAATCTCCTTAAGCTGATAAGCAACTTCAGCAAAGTCTCAAGATACAAAATCAATGTGCAAACATCACAAGCATTCTTATATACACCAATAACAGACAAACAGAGAGCCAAATCATGAGTGAACTCCCATTCACAATTGCTTCAAAGAGAATAAAATACCTAGGAATCCAACTTACAAGGGATGTGAAGGACCTCTTCAAGGAGAACTACAAACCACTGCTCAATGAAATAAAAGAGGACACAAAGAAATGGAAGAACATTCCATGCTCATGGGTAGGAAGAATCAACATTGTGAAAATGGCCATATTGCCCAAGGTAATTTATAGATTCAATGCCATCCCCATCAAGCTACCAATGACTTTCTTCACAAAATTGGAAAAAACTACTTTAAAGTTCATATGGAACCAAAAAAGAGCCCACATTGCCAAGTCAATCCTAAGCCAAAAGAACAAAGCCAGAGGCATCACGCTACATGACTTCAAACTATCCTACAAGGCTACAGTAACCAAAACAGCATGGTACTGGTACCAAAACGGAGATAGATATAGACCAATGGAACAGAACAGAGCCCTCAGAAATAATCCCGCATATCTACAACTATCTGATCTTTGACAAACCTGACAAAAACAAGCAATGGGGAAAGGATTCCCTATTTAATAAATGGTGCTGGGAAAACTGGCTAGCCATATGTAGAAAGCTGAAACTGGATCCCTTCCTTACACCTTATACAAAAATTAATTCAAGATGGATTAAAGACTTACATGTCAGACCTAAAACCATAAAACCCCTAGAAGAAAACCTAGGCAATACCATTCAGGACATAGGCATGGGCAAGGACTTCATGTCTAAAACACCAAAAGCAATGGCAACAAAAGCCAAAATTGACAAATGGGATCTAATTAAACTAAAGAGCTTCTGCACAGCAAAAGAAACCACCATCAAAGTGAACAGGCAACCTACAGAATGGGAGAAAATTTTTGCCACCTACCATCTGACAAAGGGCTAATATCCAGAATCTACAACGAACTCAAACAAATTTACAAGAAAAAAACAAACAACCCCATCAAAAAGTGGGCGAAGGATATGAACAGACACTTGTCAAAAGAAGACATTTATGCAGCCAAAAAACACATGAAAAAATGCTCATCATCACTGGCCATCAGAGAAATGCAAATCAAAACCACAATGAGATACCATCTCACACCAGTTAGAACGGCAATCATTAAAAAGTCAGGAAACAACCCAGGTGCTGGAGAGGATGTGGAGAAATAGGAACACTTTTACACTGTTGGTGGGACTGTAAACTAGTTCAACCATTGTGGAAGTCGGTGTGGCGATTCCTCAGGGATCTAGAACTAGAAATACCATTTGACCCAGCCATCCCATTACTGAGTATATACCCAAAGGATTATAAATCATGCTGCTATAAAGACACATGCACATGTATGTTTATTGCAGCACTATTCACAATAGCAAAGACTTGGAACCAACCCAAATGTCCAACAATGATAGACTAGATTAAGAAAATGTGGCATACACTGCAAAAACATGCCAAAATGTAAAGGCCATCAAGGCTAGGAAGAAACTGCATCAACTAACGAGCAAAATAACCAGCTAACATCATAATGACAGGACCAAATTCACACATGACAATATTAACTTTAAATGTAAATGGGCTAAATGCTCCAATTAAAAGGCACAGACTGGCAAATTGGATAAAGAGTCAAGACCCATCAGTGTGCTGTATTCAGGAAACCCATCTCACATGCAGAAACACACATAGGCTCAAAATAAAGGGATGGAGGAAGATCTACCAAGCAAATGGAAAACAAAAAAAGGCAAGGATTGCAATCCTAGTCTCGAATAAAACAGACTTTAAAACAACAAAGATCAAAAGAGACAAAGAAGGCCATTACATAATGGTAAAGGGATCAATTCAACAAGAAGAACTAACTATCCTAAATATATATGCACCCAATACAGGAGCACCCAGATTCATAAAGCAAGTCCACAATAATAATGGGAGACTTTAACATCCCACTGTCAACATTAGACAGATCAACGAGACAGAAAGTTAACAAGGATATCCAGGAATTGAACTCAGCTCTGCACCAAGCAGACCTAATAGACATCTACAGAACTCTCCACCCCAAATCAACAGAATATACATTTTTTTCAGCACCACACCACACCTATTCCAAAATTGACCACATACTTGGAAGTAAAGCACTCCTCAGCAAATGTAAAAGAACAGAAATCATAACAAACTGTCTCTCAGACCACAGTGCAATCAAACTAGAACTCAGGATTAAGAAACTCACTCAAAACTGCTCAACTACATGGAAACTGAACAACCTGCTCCTGAATGACTACTGGGTACATAACGAAATGAAGGCAGAAATAAAGATGTTCTTTGTAACCAACGAGAACAAAGACACAACATACCAGAATCTCTGGGACACATTAAAAGCAGTGTGTAGAGGGAAATTTATAGCACTAAATGCCCACAAGAGAAAGCAGGAAAGATCCAAAATTGACACCCTAACATCACAATCCAAAGAACTAGAAAAGCAAGAGCAAACACATTCAAAAGCTAGCAGAAGGCAAGAAATAACTAAGATCAGAGCAGAACTGAAGGAAATAGAGACACAAAAAACCCTTCAAAAATTAATGAATCCAGGAGCTGGTTTTTTGAAAAGATCAACAAAATTGATAGACTGCTAGCAAGACTAATAAAGAAGAAAAGAGAGAAGAATCAAATAGACGCAATAAAAAATGATAAAGGGGATATCACCACCGATCCCACAGAAATACAAACTACCATCAGAGAATACTACAAACACCTCTACACAAATAAACTAGAAAATCTAGAAGAAATGGATAAATTCCTCGACACATACACCCTCCCAAGACTAAACCAGGAAGAAGTTGAATCTCTGAATAGACCAATAACAGGCTCGGAAATTGTGGCAATAATCAATAGCTTACCAACAAAAAAAAGCCCAGGACCAGACGGATTCACAGCCGAATTCCACCAGAGGTACAAGGAGGAGCTGGTACCGTTCCTTCTGAAACGATTCCAATCAATAGAAAAAGAGGGAATCCTCCCTAACTCATGTTATGAGGCCAGCATCATCCTGATACCAAAGCCTGGCAGAGACACAACCAAAAAAGAGAATTTTAGACCAATATCCTTCATGAACATTGATGCAAAAATCCTCAATAAAATACTGGCAAACCGAATCCAGCAGCACATCAAAAAGCTTATCCACCATGATCAAGTGGGCTTCATCCCTGGGATGCAAGGCTGGTTCAACATACACAAATCAATAAATGTAATCCAGCATATAAACAGAACCAAAGACAAAAATCACATGATTATCTCAATAGATGCAGAAAAGGTCTTTGACAAAATTCAACAACGCTTCATGTTAAAAACTCTCAATACATTAGGTATTGATGGGACATATCTCAAAATAATAAGAGCTATCTATGACAAACCCACAGCCAATACCATACTGAATGGGCAAAAACTGGAAGCATTCTCTTTGAAAACTGGCACAAGACAGGAATGCCCTCTCTCACCACTTCTATTCAACATAGTGTTGGAGTTCTGGCCAGGGCAATTAGGCAGGAGAAGGAAATAAAGGGTATTCAATTAGGAAAAGAGGAAGTCAAATTGTCCCTGTTTGCAGATGACATGATTGTATATCTAGAAAACCCCACTGTCTCAGCCCAAAATCTCCTTAAGCTGATAAGCAACTTCAGCAAAGTCTCAGGATACAAAATCAATGTATAAAAATCACAAGCATTCTTATACACCAATAACAGACAAACAGAGAGCCAAATCATGAGTGAACTCCCATTCACAATTGCTTCAAAGAGAATAAAATACCTAGGAATCCAACTTACAAGGGATGTGAAGGACCACTTCAAGGAGAACTACAAACCACTGCTCAATGAAATAAAAGAGGACACAAAGAAATGGAAGAACATTCCATGCTCATGGGTAGGAAGAATCAATATCATGAAAATGGCCATATTGCCCAAGGTAATTTATAGATTCAATGCCATCCCCATCAAGCTACCAATGACTTTCTTCACAAAATTGGAAAAAACTACTTTAAAGTTCATATGGAACCAAAAAAGAGCCCACATTGCCAAGTCAATCCTAAGCCAAAAGAACAAAGCCAGAGGCATCACGCTACCTGACTTCAAACTATCCTACAAGGCTACAGTAACCAAAACAGCATGGTACTGGTACCAAAACGGAGATAGATATAGACCAATGGAACAGAACAGAGCGCTCGGAAATAATCCCACATATCTACAACTATCTGATCTTTGACAAACCTGACAAAAACAAGCAATGGGGAAAGGATTCCCTATTTAATAAATGGTGCTGGGAAAACTGGCTAGCCATATGTAGAAAGCTGAAACTAGATCCCTTCCTTACACCTTATACAAAAATCAATTCAAGATGGATTAAAGACTTACATGTCAGACCTAAAACCATAAAAACCCTAGAAGAAAACCTAGGCAATACCATTCAGGACATAGGCATGGGCAAGGACTTCATGTCTAAAACACCAAAAGCAATGGCAACAAAAGCCAAAATTGACAAATGGGATCTAATTAAACTAAAGAGCTTCTGCACAGCAAAAGAAACCACCATCAAAGTGAACAGGCAACCTACAGAATGGGAGAAAATTTTTGCAACCTACTCATCTGACAAAGGGCTAATATCCAGAATCTACAATGAACTCAAACAAATTTACAAGAAAAAAACAAACAACCCCATCAAAAAGTGGGCGAAGGATATGAACAGACACTTGTCAAAAGAAGACATTTATGCAGCCAAAAAACACATGAAAAAATGCTCATCATCACTGGCCATCAGAGAAATGCAAATAAAAACCACAGTGAGATACCATCTCACACCAGTTAGAATGGTGATCATTAAAAAGTCAGGAAACAACCCAAGTGCTGGAGAGGATGTGGGGAAATAGCAACACTTTTACACTGTTGGTGGGACTGTAAACTAGTTCAACCATTGTGGAAGTTGGTGTGGCGATTCCTCAGGGATCTAGAACTAGAAATACCATTGGACCCAGCCACCCCATTACTGGGCATGTACCCAAAGGATTATAAATCATGCTGCTATAAAGACACATGCACACGTATGTTTATTGCGGCACTATTCACAATAGCAAAGACTTGGAACAAACCCAAGTGTCCAACAACGATAGACTGGATTAAGAAAATGTGGCACATATACACCATGGAATACTATGCAGCCCTAAAAAATGATGAGTTCATGTCCTTTGTAGGGACATGGATGAAGCTAGAAAGCATCATTCTCAGCAAACTATCGCAAGGACAAAAAACCAAACACCGCATGTTCTCACTCATAGGTGGGAATTGAACAATGAGAACACATGGACACAGGAAGGGGAACATCACACTCCGGGAACTGTTGTAGAGTTGGGGGAGGGGGGAGGGATAGCATTAGGAGACATACCTAATGCTAAATGACGAGTTAATGGGTGCAGCACACCAACATGGCAAATGTATACATATGTAACAAACCTGCACGTTGTGCACATGTATCCTAAAACTTAAGGTATAATAATAATTTAAAAAAAAAGAAAAAAAAAAGATCCAAAGAAAGGGTGGTAGACAAAGGTCTAGCTCCTAGGCTGAGGGCCTCAGGGCAGAATGCGGCTTCATCCTGAGTCAATGATCTTCTCAGGTAGTTGCTTCATATATACCCCCTTCCCAACACCAGAGCTGCTCTTAGACTGAGGTCAAGTGTGAGCCAGAGATGGCTGGAGATATGAGAACAAGAGCAAAGCGGACAGGAAAGGGCTAGGAGGGATCGCACCAACACACTCCAGCCTGGGCGACAGAGCAAGCCTCTGTCTCAAAAAATAAAAAATAAATAAATAAATGATAGTGGATTTCTAGTTTGAATCGAAAGTTCAGGAAACCAATCTTCACTATCAAAACGGAATATTTAGGGTGAAGAAAATTTATGGTACTTCCTCAAATGACCCATAATGGGCAAACGTTGGGAATGAGAGAGGCGAGGCCCTGAAACTACTTCCAAGGGGAACAGTTTAGAGTGGAGAGAAATGTTACAGCAGCTTCTTTCAGAAAATGATCTAAGTTGGCCTGGAGATCACACACTCCATTGATTGGAAGGTCATGGTCTTGATGAAAGTGCTGGGTATGTTTTTACTCTTGTGCCAAATAGGCTGTCCTTTAGAACTTCAATACAGGCATTAAAGGAGTAATTAAAATCCATCCCATTACTCTCCTGCCCCGACCTCTTTTTAAAAAGAATTCATCAAATTTTATACTTTCAAGAAGAAATTTTTCAAACTGAGGACTATATTTTGCAAGTCTGTACTATTACATTCCTATGGTGGGATATAAGTAACACAATAGATATTTACATATAGATATTAAAGCTGAAGGAGCGCAAGTAAAATTTGTTATGTGAGACGTAACTTACAGCCCAGAACAGCTCAGAAGTTTTAATGCTATCCTTAATGGTGTCTTAATGAAGGCTTTCTGCAAGTAGAAAGTTGGCTGGATAATAGGCCATTAGACCATGAACAGAGATTTTAAATTTATATTTCCTTTTCATCTTCTTTCCATTAAGCCTTGATGGATAAAAAATTATGTAGCAATTGACTGCAGCCTACATCAGACCATTTTCTGTGGAGAAAATCATGATAATGGTAGTTGGACCCTAAAACTGTTTGAAAGTTATTTTCATAGAAAGAGATCTTTTTTTTCTTCATAAATCAGTTGTGTTTTATGAAAACATAAATGGTTCCCCTGTTTTGGAATGCTGCTGCAAATTCTTTTTGCATCTGACGTATAACTTTTAAGCTTCAAAGAAATACTATAAACTAGATGAAATAAAATATAATTGGATATAGCGGATTTGTTTAGTATCTTTTTAGTAGGGCAAGAACTTTCTGATTAGATAGATGGGGATGATACTCCAGAAAGATTTAGTGCATATTGTGATGAACATTAATTATGGGCTGAATTCTCCTATATAGAATAACTTTAATGTTAGTGCTTTAAAACTATTAAATGGACTTTCATAATTATACTCCAATAAGTTTTGTATGTCAGGAAGTTTTTAGTACCATTACCAACCTGAAATATAGGCCATAGAGGCTGATATTGAGCACACTGATGTTACTCTATTTTATCTCCTTTCTAGTAGAGGAAAAGCTGACATATCCATCATGCTATCAACCAGAGAGATTTGCTAATTTCATTTTTTTGCATTTTCACTTACCCATAATAATTAATATGCCTAATGACAAAAGGCATTTTAATCACTTAAAGTGCCTTATGATTCATCAAAAATGTAATATTCTGTTTGGGATAAATGTTATTGTATAGTATTATAAAACTTTAACTCATCAGTAATTTGAGCACAGTTTAATTTTGTTCTCCCCCAAGATAAAACCCCTCCCCTCCCAAAGCCTTGATGGCCTTGAGGGGTAATCAGCCTGGCTGGGAGAAAGAGAAGTGGGTTAAATCAAATGGCAGCACACCCTAGTTTCCTCTGCAATCTCATATAGGAAGATGAGCTTGGGGTTGCGGGGCATGAAAAGGTGGGACTCAGACTGGGCATGAGAAGGTGGGACTCAGACTTGGATCAAAGAGTGGGGACACAGCAGAGAAGAGCAGAAACCTTTTGCAGAGAGAAAGGAGCTTACCTGGATAGAGCTGAAGATGATGGATGAGGGGAATGTCAAAGGTCCCCGGATGCTGTGATCCAGCATGGAGGATCTGGATCCCTGGACTTTCTGCTGAGCAGCAATGGAGACAGGATTGAGAAAACCAGTGAGCTAGAGAATCCAGGTTGTATTTATGCAGATAGAAGGTCAGTTCCAGGAAACTAAGGGGAAGTATGGGTGTTTGAGATCAGGGAAATCCTGCTGAAGGGGCAGAGCCCTAGGGATACTAACTGGGTCAGGGGGTCAGAGGAATAGGAGGAAAGTAGCTTTGCTCTGAGGTTGGAGTAAATGGACCTACAGAGAATTAGGGTGAAAACCTCTTTCTCAAAGAAACTATGGAATTGGAGAAGCAGACCTAGGAGGGGAAGCAAACTGAACTGGTTGGAGACAAACTTTTGTTTTAAAGCTCAGGACTAACGGAGGGCTCTGGCTCAACAAAGGGAATCATACCAAGGAGCACCTAGAAGCGTGCCACGTATATGGGGAAATTGAGTTTTCCTCACACAGGGCAAATGGGAATTGCTTTCTTCAGTGATTCTTCCAGTGTGGTGTCTGGACCAGCACACTCCTCACATCAGAAGTAGTCTTGGCCGGGCATGGTGGCTCACGCCTGTAATCCCACCACTTTGGAAGGGCAAGGTAGGTGGATGACTTGAGGTTAGGAGTTCAAGACCAGCCTGGGCAAAGTGGCAAAAACCTGTCCCTACTAAAAATACAAAACTAGCCGGGTATGGTGGTGCATGCCCGTAGTCCCAGCTACTCAGGAGGCTGAAGCACAAGAATGGCTTGAACCCGGGAGGCGGAGGTTGCAGTGAGCTGGCATTGCACCACTGCACTCCAGCCTGGGTGACAGAGCAAGACTCCATCTCAAAAAAAAAAAAAATCATCTTTGAACTGGATTTTGAAGGATGAATAGAAGTTACCATGTGGAGAGGTTGAGAAACAAAAGATCTGCCACTTAAATACTAGGTCTAAGGACAATGAGTCCTTTTTCTCAAAACAGCCCTCAGTGTCTATTCTTGTAAGGAAGGCAGAGCAGTAAATAAATACAAGACACCATGATAAACGCTGTAATAGGAGCATGCCAAGAGGTAATGAGGACATTTAGGAGTGAGAGCTTTCAATCAGGATCGAGGAGATCAGGGAAAGTCCGAGCTGCATGGGAGTTAAGCAAGTGAGATGGGTTGGGTAAGTGCTAAAGGCAGATGAGAAAAAGGCACTGCACCTAAGCATTGGAAAGTACACGTTTGTAACAACCGACCAGGCACCAGTCCACAAAGTATCTGGAAGTTATCTGACCATAATATAATGTAGAAATCATTAAGAAAACGGTAATTGAAAAAAACCTTGTGCATTTGGAGAACGCGTATGTGTGCTCACACCCATATATGCACATGCATTTATGCACATACACACGTACTTCTAAATAATCCATGGTCCAAGAAGAAATCTTAATGGAAATTACAAAATGTTAGAAATAAAAAATGAAAAAGATACTATTTATCAAAACCTGTAGTTTCGGGAAAGCAGCTATAAAAAAGTCCTACAAGGAAAGAAGAAATGCTAAAATTAATAAACTAAGCATCCTAATTACAACTTTATCAAAATAACAGCAGAATCAACCCAAAGTAAAGAACATATAAAAAAAAAAAAAAGGAAGAAGAAAGAAATGGGCCGAGAGCGGTGGCTCAGGCCTGTAATCCCAGCACTTTGGGAGCCAGAGGTGGGTGGATCACGAGGTCAGGAGTTCGAGACCAGCCTGACCAACACGGTGAAACATGTCTCTACTAAAAATACTAAAATTAGTCGGGTGGCACACGCCTGTAATCCCAGCTACTCAGGAGGCTGAGGCAGGAGAATCACTTGAACCTGGGAGGCGAAGTTTGCAGTGAGCTGTGATCGTGCCACTACACTCCAGCCAGGGCAACAGAGCGAGACTCTGTCTCAAAAAAAAAAAAAAAAAAAAGAAAAAAAGAAAGAAAGAAATGAAAGATGAAACAAAATAGAAGAATATGAACAAGGCTATCCATTGGTTCTTTGAAACGATTAATAAAATGAGCAAATCTTGGTGAGGATGAAAAAAAGGTATGAATAAACATTATAAGAAAAAGGTAGGCTGAGTGCGGTGGCTCATGCCTGTAATTCCAGCACTTTGGGAGGCCAAGGCTGGCAGATCACTTGAGCCCAGGAGTTTGAGACCAGCCTGGACAACACAGGGAGACCCTGCCTCTTAAAAAAAAAAAAAAATTAAGTAGATGCTATGGATGTAGCAGATATCTAAAAGATAAAATTATATACTATGAATTCTTTACACCAATTAATTTGAAAGCAAGAAAAAGAGACAAATTTCTCAAAAAATATGAATGATCAAAACTTAGAAGAAATACAATAACTGAATGATTTAATAACTGTTAAAGAAATATAATGAGTACCTTTAAAAACTCTTCCTACAAAAAAATCCCCAGAAGACCAGATAGTTTTATAAGTGAGTTCAAAAACAATAATCTTATTCAAACTTTTTCAGGAAATAGAAAAATATACATGGGAATATTATAACCCAATCTTACTCATGACTATAGATGTAAAAATTCCAAACAAAATATTCATAAACTGATGCCAACACTGTGTTAAAAAAAAAGACTGCACATGACTAAACTGGATTTATTCCAAGAAAGCAAAGTTAATTCAATATTTTTTTTCAAAAGCCTGTTAATGTAAATCACATTAATAGGTTAAAGATAAAAATTTATATAGGTACAGAAAAACATAAAATTCAACAAATATTCATGATAATTACTTTTAGTTAATTGGGAATAAAAGAAAATCTTCCTCATTTCCCCCAAGTCTGGGAAACCACACATAGTAGAGTATGGCCAGATGAGAAAAGTGACCCTCAAAAAAGGTAACTAACTTGCACAAGGTCATGTATCAGTTTCAGTAGTAGAGCAAAGACTGGCCTGCATCTTAATTCTCAACTTTTTTCCCCCACAATACCATGTTGGTGCCAGAATATAGAGCTTTTTGGAAAACAAGTTAAAATATTCAAGATTTGCCATTATATAGATAACATTTATTTGAATCTCAAACATTGCCTGTTTCCAAAATTCTCATAAACATTAAGTCGAGTAAAATAACTTCTCCCTTGAAGTTTTTCCATTTGCTAGACCTTATCCTCAGCTGCTACTTCCAGCTTGCCTAGTTGCTAAGGAAAAAGGAAAATGTGTGTCTAAACTTGAAACATTCTTCACACAATATCATACACTTTTCATATTTCACACCACAATATATTAACAATACCAAGAAAGGGCTGATTTTATATAGCATATAGATCCTCCTGTTAACTGATAGACTCTTTTTCTATTTAGATGAAACTCTTATCTTTATTCAGAAAGGAACTTGTTCTCTGTCAGCATGTTACTGAGTCAAGAATTGCTCACCGGGTGTAGTGGCTCATGCCTGAAATCCCAGCACTTTGGGAGGCCGAAGTGGGTGGATCCTTTGGGCCCAAGAGTTTGAGACCATACTGGGCAACATGGCAAAACCCCATCTCTAACAAAAAATACAAAAATTAGCCAGGTGTGGTGGTGCATGCCTGTAGTCCTAACTACTCAGGACTCCAGCCTGGGCGACAAAGTGAGACCCTGTCTCAAAAAATAGCAAAGCCATCTTTAACTTCCAAAAATATTCAAACACCTTAGCAACATGCCTGCAGATATTGTTGAACAAGCCACCTGTTTTTCAAAGTGCAATTTTGATTCCCCATCAAATAATTTTCTGTTGAGTCTTGATAATGTGTTCAACATTAATAAGTATTTATTAAGCTTCTTCTATGTCCCAGACACTGCTAGGTGAGAGAGCTAAATGTCGCCATGGTACACAAATTGAAACGTAACTAATTATGTCTGTACAGGATTTTCAGAATTGAAAAAATAACCAACACTAATTCTCATTAGCTTGGAAATTGAAACTTTAGATCTATTAGTAGAACACTGTAGTAGATTTTGTGCTGATTCTTTTTTTTAACTTAATTTGTTATCGAGTTTAATTTTAGAGACCTGTACCATTTTATTACAAAATGTGGAATAGATGAGTGACCCCATTTGGATTCCATTTCAATCAGTGTTACTTATATTTGTGCCTATATTTTCCCACTTAAGAAAATATCTTATCTGTGTATCTTGTGCTTTATTTCCACATTAGGAAGATTTTAAATGTTTAAAATTATTACATTTTTATGACACATCATCTTAAACATAATGCATAAAAAAGCAAATATACTAAGATAGCTGTTTGCCTTTTATATGTATTATTAATCAGCTCAAGTGTAATTTTCATAATGCATCAACTTTAAAATGTAAGTTAATATATTAGTATCAGCTCCAAAATATCCCTAGGTGGGTATATAGTAAACTTCAAAACTTAAGTTTTGCTTTTGTTTTGCTTTAAAGAGACAGGGTCTTTCTCTGTCACCTAGGCTGGAGCTCACTGCTGAGCTCAAGCGATCCTTCCACCTCTATCTTGCAAGTAGTTGGGACTATAGGCAGGTAACACCATGCCCAGCTAATTAAATTCTTTTTAGAGATGGGGTCTGGCTTTGTTGCCCAGGCCAGTCTTGAACTCCTGGCCTCCTCAGTCTTCCAAAGTGCTAGGATTACAGGCATTAAGTCACCGTGCTCGGCCTAAGGCCTTTATATTTGCTTGAACAGATTAAAAACTTATGCACAAGTTAATAGCCCTCTCACACACCATTCCAAAAAGACCTGGGTTGATGACTGCAGTCTGCATCCCTAGTGACTGTTCTCAATGAGCCACTGGGATTCTAAACACCTCATACTCTGCTCACTGTTTCCCTGAGAGCTGCAGCTCTTTTGCCACTTTAGTGAGGCTATTTCCTAAGGATCCAGACAAAGCATAGTCCTCCTCTGCTTTCAAGACAATTTTGTTTTTTTTCTTAATCATACTTCTACAGAAACAACAAAACTCAAATTATATTATACAAGTTCAAATTTGTTTAGAATCTTTAAGAACTTTGTCTTTGCATACTTTCCCTGTAATAGAGTATAGAAAGGCAATAAGGCATCATCTAGATCTAGGTGAAACTCATGGATTCAGTTGCCAGCTTGTCATCTGGGTTTGAATGTCAGCTCTAACACTCACCAGCAGTGACATGAAGTCATTTAAACTCTGTACATTGTATTCCTTCTCTGTAGAACAAAAATATCAATAGTATCTACCTCACAGGTTGTTGTGAGAATGTAAATGAGTAGATGGAGGTAAAGGGCTTAGAACAGTGCTGGGCATGGAGGAAGTGCTTAAAAAAAAAAAAGTATTAACCATTATTTTAAGATGGCCAGCTCACCAGGCTTGTCAGAATAATCCCCAATCTTGGAATGAATAAACTGCCCTGTTGAGAAAACAAATCAGTCTAATGTTCTATGGCCCAAGGCCCTCTATTTATAAAAATGTATTTTTCTTTGTACATTTGACTTTGGATTCCAGTAGCAAAGCTGGTTCCTACGTTTTGTTTTGAGATGGAGTCTCGCTTTGCCATCCAGGCTGGAGTGCAGTGGCACAATCTTGGCTCACTGCAACCTCCACCTCCTGGGTTCCAGCGATTCTCCTGCCTCAGCCTCCTGAGTTGCTGGGATTACAGGTGCCCGCCACCACACCCAACTCATTTTTCTATTTTTAATAGAGACGGGGTTTCACCATGTTGGTCAGGCTGGTCTCAAACTCCTGACCTCGTGATCCGCCCGCCTCAGCCTCCCAAAGTGCTGGGATTACAGCTGTGAGCCACTGCGCCTGGTCGTTCCTATGTTATACTCTTGTGAATTTCCTGCTATGGAATCTCATTCTCAGATCTTGACCCCATTCCACCCGCCAGTTATAAGTGAAGAATGGCTGTTCTTTGAGGAAAAATGGACCCTAAGTGGGGATCTACCCATTTCTTCTCTCATCCCCAATTCTCATTTCTCCAACTTGCAGGTGAAAGAGATCCTTCAGAATTTCTTCTTGCTTAGGCAAGCTGGCTCAATGCCTAGTGCCTTCTTACTGTGTCGTTTAAAACATTATGTCATTGAGTTTGCAGTATGAGATATGGCCTTTCTTTAGTCTTCTTTGAGACAACGCCGTCCCTCAAGTTTTGTTATATTTGTTCACTGTAGATATATTTCAAGTGGAGAAATTCAGTCAACACATACTCACTGTAGGTAGTCATCTAATGTTTTTAATGCCAAACATCTAAGCTGTCTTTCCCTTCGTAGAACTATAACATCCCACTCTTAGCCCAATTATTGAGGTTAATCTGCCCTTATAGCTGGGTTTCAGGGGGAATCTAGTATAACCCAATGCATGTATTTTAGCTCCTTGATCACCTGTACTAACTTACAGGAACCGGATGAGTTTGAAATTGCTGTGGTCTACCACGTAGAGCCTCAATCCAGAAGAAACAGATCCTGCTGATAGAATTTGAGCTCCAAATCAAGCTAGGTTCACAAAAACCGATGTTAGGTTTTGATATGGTTTTTTGTGTTCATTTAAATACGTATATCAAAAATAAGGCGAAATGTGAAAGTCTGCCTAGGAAAAACTGGAGTTTGCTTATTGTACTCTCTCTGTTAAAATACTCCCTTCAGACAAGCCCATGCTGAAATAGGATAGGTCTACTGCTAGTAGCACCCATTTCAATCACCAGGGCAGTTTATTACCCTTTTATCTCTACAGAGAAAATACCAATCAATGGTCCCTAAAAGCTGGTCTACACACTGGCATGTGTCAGTGATAACATCTCCACCAGGCCATAGCATTCTTCTCAAATAAGTTCTACTACTATATGCCAATGAGCAAAGCCTTAAGCTAAGTCCTAGGTATGAGCAGTGTTAGGGCTTAGAACATGATACCCCAAAGTATGGTGCTTTAGCATGCTGAGTACTTTAAACTAAGAGAGATTAGAAGGCCTCAGAAGCAGCCTCAGAACCAAGGTCTCTGATCTTTTCCTGCCTTCCTGCTTCTGGCTCCCCTCTTCTCCAAAGTAAGCTGTAAAACCTAGAAATATTATTCCAACCTTCCCCACCCTCTCTATATCGTAAGACCCTCCTTCAGTAAGGGTCCTGCCCCATGCCCAGGAAGAAGGAAAGCTACACAGAAAGACCAAGAAAGACCTGAACAGACAGGCCTTGCGGGTTTCTTCAGTTTACTACCACTACATCGCACCTGTTTGTCCAATCACCTTTCTACATGGCTGTACATTCTTCCATTCTTTGTCAAACATAAGCATAAAAACAGACAGTTTTACCTGCATATTTGAGTCTTCATTTCTGAAGGCTGCCATGTCACATAAAACTTGGATTAAATAAATTTGTTGTGTTTTTCTCTTGTTAACCAGTGTTTTGCTATAGGAGTGTTGGCTATGACCCTTAGGTCATATGTGACCTTAGCCAATGTGATAAGGAAAGGTATCACATTTTTCTGCCTCTACGGCAGCCACTGAGAGAGGCTGCTCTAAAACTCCCTTCCTACTCTCACTAACCAGGCAAGAAGTGTGAATTTTCCCCCAGATTATTCAGGGAGAAGGCAGGAGAAGCAACTGAAGGCAAGGAAGCCGTTGTTCTATGGCTTTTAGGTGTGCTCAAGATATACTGAAACAGTATTATGTAGCTTTCACTACAGCTAGCATACTTAAATGCCATCAAATTTACACAGAAAAGATGACGACAAAAAAAAAAAAAGTCCTAGAAAAAGTTGACATTTGACCTCTAGTCTGTGGTGAACAGACTCCCAAGATGACAAACTTATATCCGGACCACAATTAAACGGTAAACATCACAAAGTGGAAACTGTTTAATAAATTTCTACATTTAGATTTTCAAAAATATATCCTAGCAAAATGCTGCCAACTTTCTTCTGATGTGAAGGACTGTCCTTTATTCTAATTATAGATCTCTCTTGGTGTAAGGTAAAAATATTACTTTTTTGACATTAGGTTGATAGTAAGATAGTAGAGTTTATTTTGCCCAGTACATATTAAAAACTGTCAACCTTAGGTTGGGCCCGTCCTTTTAATTTTTTAATATTAAGAGTCCATATTAAGTGGTCCAAAAGCTTGGAGACCACTGAAACACAGTGCAGGTTGAACAAATTTCCATTCCCAGTGCCCGCCGTAAGTTAGTCATGCCTGACATTTACAGAAAAAAAAAAAAAGTAATAAACTAATTATCTTTCATTAATTAAAAGAACATATTTTACTTTATATGTTTCCCTAAGATTTTAATTAAAATACAGTAGTTCTCCCTTACCTGTGGGGGACGTTACAAGACCCCCAGTAGATGTCTGAAACCTTAGATAGTGCTAAATCCGACAGACTATTTTTTCCCCATATATAAATATCTATGATAAAACTTTATTTACAAATTAGGCACAGTAAGAGATTAACAACAATAAATAATAGAATAGAATAATTATAACATACGGTAATAAAAGTTATGTATATGAAATGTTTCTTTCTCTCAAAATATCTTGTCCTGCAGTCTACTCATTTAATATTTTTGGATCACAGTTGACTGTGGGTAACTGAAACTGGAGAAAGCAAAACTGCAGATAAGGATGGACTACTGTGATTCAAAGAAGTATGCCACACAGAATGTTACAAAAATACCAAAGAACTACAGGCAGACAGCGGATGAGAATTCTTTTAAAAAGAGATACAGGTGGAGCCAAGATGGCTGAATAGGAACAGCTCCAATCTACAGCTCCCAGTGTGAGCGATGCAGAAGACGGGTGACTTCTGCATTTCCGACTGAGGTACCGGGTTCATCTCACTGGGGAGTGCCGGACAGTGGGTGCAGGACAGTGGGTGCAGCACACTGTGCATGAGCTGAAGCAGGGCGAGGCATCGCCTCACCCGGGAAGCGCAAGGGGTCAGGGAATTCCCTTTCCTAGTCAAAGAAAGGGGTGACAGACGGCACCTGGAAAATTGGGTCACTCCCACCCAAATACTGTGCTTTTCCAACGGGCTTATCAAACGGCACACCAGGAGATTATATCCCGCACCTGGCTTGGAGGGTCCTACGCCCACAGAGCCTCACTCATTGCTAGCACAGCAGTCTGAGATCAAACTGCAAGGCGGCAGCGAGGCTGGGGAAGGGGCGCCCACCATTGCTTAGGTTTGAGTAGGTAAACAAACCTGCCGGGAAGCTCGAACTGGGTGGAGCCCACCACAGCTTAAGGAGGCCTGCCTGCCTCTGTAGGCTCCACCTCTGGGGGAAGGGCACAGACAAACAAAAGACAGCAATAACCTCAGTAGACTTAAATGTCCCTGTCTGACAGCTTTGAAGAGAGTAGTGGTTCTCCCAGCATGCAGCTGGACAACTGAGAACGGGCAGACTGCCTCCTCAAGTGGGTCCCTGACCCCCGAGTAGCCTAACTGGGAGGCAACCCCCAGTAGGGTCGGACTGACACCTCACACGGCCGGGTACTCCTCTGAGACAAAACTTCCAGAGGAATGATCAGGCAGCAGCATTTTCGGTTCACCGATATCTGCTTTTCTGCAGCCACCGCTGCTGATGCCCAGGCAAACAGGGTCTGGAGTGGACCTCCAGGAAACTCCAACAGACCTGCAGCTGAGGGTCCTGACCGTTAGAAGGAAAACTAACAAACAGAAAGGACATCCACACCAAAAACCCATCTGTACGTCACCATCGTCGAAGACCAAAGGTAGATAAAACCACAAAGATGGGGAAAAAACAGAGCAGAAAAACCAGAAACTCTAAAAATCAGAGTGCCTCTCCTCCTCCAAAGGAACGCAGCTCCTCACCAGCAATGGAACAAAGCTGGACGGAGAATGACTTTGACGAGTTGAGAGAAGGCTTCAGAATATCAAACTACTCCGAGCTAAAGGAGGAAGTTCGAACCAATGGCAAAAGAAGTTAAACACTTCGAAAAAAAAATTAGACAAATGGATAACTAGAATAACCAATGCAGAGAAGTCCTTAAAGGACCTGATGGAGCTGAAAACCATGGCATGAGAACTACGTGACGAATGCACAAGCCTCAGTAACCGATGCGATCAACTGGAAGAAAGGGTATCAGCAATGGAAGATGAAATGAATGAAATGAAGCGTGAAGAGAAGTTTAGAGAAAAAAGAATAAAAAAGAAATGAACAAAGCCTCCAAGAAATATGGGACTATGTGAAAAGACCAAATCTACGTCTAATTGGTGTACCTGAAAGTGACGGGGAGAATGGAATCAAGTTGGAAAACACTCTGCAGGATATTATCCAGGAGAACTTCCCCAATCTAGCAAGGCAGGCCAACATTCAAATTCAGGAAATACAGAGAATGCCACAAAGATACTCCTCGAGAAGAGCAACTCCAAGACACATAATTGTCGGATTCACCAAAGTTGAAATGAAGGAAAAAATGTTAAGGGCAGCCAGAGAGAAAGGTCGGGTTACCCACAAAGGGAATCCCATCAGACTAACAGTAGATCTCTTGGCAGAAACTCTACAAGCCAGAAGAGAGTGGGGGCCAATATTCAACATTCTTAAAGAAAAGAATTTTCAACCCAGAATTTCATATCCAGCCAAACTAAGCTTCATAAGTGAAGGAGAAATAAAATACTTTACAGACAAGCAAATGCTGAGAGATTTTGTCACCACCAGGCCTGCCTTACAAGAACTCCTGAAGGAAGCACTAAACATGGAAAGGAACAACCGGTACCAGCCACTGCAAAAACATGCCAAATTGTAAAGACCATCAGTGCTAGGAAGAAACTGCATCAACTAATGAGCAAAATAACCAGCTAACATCATAATGACAGAATCAAATTCACACATAACAATACTAACCTCAAATGTAAATGGGCTAAATGCTCCAATTAAAAGGCACAGACTGGCAAATTGGATAAAAAGTCAAGACCCATCAGTGTGCTGTATTCAGGAAACCCATCTCACATGCAGAGACACAAATAGGCTCAAAATAAAGGGATGGAGGAAGATCTACCAAGCAAATGGAAAACAAAAAAAGGCAGGGATTGCAATCCTAGTCTCGAATAAAACAGACTTTAAAACAACAAAGATCAAAAGAGACAAAGAAGGCCATTACATAATGGTAAAGGGATCAATTCAACAAGAAGAACTAACTATCCTAAATATATATGCACCCAATACAGGAGCACCCAGATTCATAAAGCAGGTCCTGAGTGACCTATAAAGAGACTTAGACTCCCACACAATAATAATGGGAGACTTTAACACCCCACTGTCAACATTAGACAGATCAACGAGACAGAAAGTCAACAAGGATATCCAGGAATTGAACTCAGCTCTGCACCAAGCGGACCTAATAGACATCTACAGAACTCTCCACCCCAAATCAACAGAATATACATTTTTTTCAGCACCACACCACACCTATTCCAAAATTGACCACATACTTGGAAGTAAAGCACTCCTCAGCAAATGTAAAAGAACAGAAATCATAACAAACTGTCTCTCAGACCACAGTGCAACCAAACTAGAACGCAGGATTAAGAAACTCACTCAAAACCACTCAACTACATGGAAACTGAACAACCTGCTCCTGAATGACTACTGGGTACATAACGAAATGAAGGCAGAAATAAAGATGTTCTTTGTAACCAATGAGAACAAAGACACAACATACCAGAATCTCTGGGACACATTAAAAGCAGTGTGTAGAGGGAAATTTATAGCACTAAATGCCCACAAGAGAAAGCAGGAAAGATCCAAAATTGACACCCTAACATCACAATTCAAAGAACTAGAAAAGCAAGAGCAAACACATTCAAAAGCTAGCAAAAGGCAAGAAATAACTAAGATCAGAGCAGAACTGAAGGAAATAGAGACACAAAAAACCCTTCAAAAAAATCAATGAATCCAGGAGCTGGCTTTTTGAAAAGATCAACAAAATTGATAGACAGCTAGCAAGACTAATTAAGAAGAAAAGAGAGAAGAATCAAATAGACGCAATAAAAAATGATAAAGGGGATATCACCACCGATCCCACAGAAATACAAACTACCATCAGAGAATACTACAAACACCTCTATGCAAATAAACTAGAAAATCTAGAAGAAATGGATAAATTCCTCGACACATACACTCTCCCAAGACTAAACAAGGAAGAAGTTGAATCTCTGAATAGGCCAATAACAGGCTCTGAAATTGAGGCAATAATTAATAGCTTACCAACCAAAAAAAGTCCAGGACCAGATGGATTCACAGCTGAATTCTACCAGAGGTACAAGGAGGAGCTGGTACCATTCCTTCTGAAACTATTCCAGTCAATAGAAAAAGAAGGAATCCTCCCTAACTCATTCTATGAGGCCAGCATCATCCTGATACCAAAGCCTGGCAGAGACACAACAAAAAAAGAGAATTTTAGACCAATATCCTTGATGAACATTGATGCAAAAATCCTCAATAAAATACTGGCAAACTGAATCCAGCAGCACATCAAAAAGCTTATCCACCATGATCAAGTGGGTTTCATCCCTGGGATGCAAGGCTGGTTCAACATACGAAAATCAATAAACGTAATCCAGCATATAAACAGAACCAAAGACAAAAACCACATAATTATCTCAATAGATGCGGAAAAGGCCTTTGACAAAATTCAACAACCCTTCATGCTAAAAACTCTCAATAAATTAGGTATTGATGGGATGTATCTCAAAATAATAACAGCTATCTATGACAAACCCACAGCCAATATCATATGGAATGGACAAAAACTGGAAGCATTCCCTTTGAAAACCGGCACAAGACAGGGATGCCCTCTCCTACCACTCCTATTCAACATAGTGTTGGAAGTTCTGGCCAGGGCAATCAGGCAGAAGAAGGAAATAAAGGGCATTCAGTTAGGAAAAGAGGAACTCAAATTGTCCCTGTTTGCAGATGACATGATTGTATATCTAGAAAACCCCATCGTCTCAGCCCAAAATCTCCTTAAGCTGATAAGCAACTTCAGCAAACTCTCAGGATGCAAAATCAATGTGCAAAAATCACAAGCATTTTTATACACCAATAACAGACAAACAGAGAGCCAAATCATGAGTGAACTCCCATTCACAATTGCTTCAAAGAGAATAAAATACCTAGGAATCCAACTTACAAGGGATGTGAAGGACCTCTTCAAGGAGAACTACAACCACTGCTCAGTGAAATAAAAGAGGACACAAAGAAATGGAAGAACATTCCATGCTCCTGGGTAGGAAGAATCAATATCATGAAAATGGCCATGTTGCCCAAGGTAATTTATAGATTCAATGCCATCCCTATCAAGCTACCAATGACTTTCTTCACAGAATTGGAAAAAACTACTTTAAAGTTCATATGGAACCAAAAAAGAGCCCACATTGCCAAGTCAATCCTAAGCCAAAAGAACAAAGCCAGAGGCATCACGCTACCTGACTTCAAACTATCCTACAAGGCTACAGTAACCAAAACAGCATGGTACTGGTACCAAAACAGAGATATAGACCAATGGAACAGAACAGAGCCCTCAGAAATAATCCCACATATCTACAACCATCTGATCTTTGACAAACCTGACAAAAACAAGCAATGGAGAAAGGATTCCCTATTTAATAAATGGTGCTGGGAAAACTGGCTAGCCATATGTAGAAAGCTGAAACCGGATTCCTTCCTTACACCTTATACAAAAATTAATTCAAGATGGATTAAAGACTTACATGTTAGACCTAAAACCATAAAAACCCTAGAAGAAAACCTAGGCAATACCATTCAGGACATAGGCATGGGCAAGGATTTCATGTCTAAAACACCAAAAGCAATGTCAACAAAAGCCGAAATTGACAAATGGGATCTAATTAAACTAAAGAGCTTCTGCACAGCAAAAGAAACCACCATCAGAGTGAACAGGCAACCTACAGAATGGGAGAAAATTTTTGCAACCTACTCATCTGACAAAGGGCTAATATCCAGAATCTACAATGAACTCAAACAAATTTACAAGAAAAAAACAAACAACCCCATCAAAAAGTGGGCGAAGGATATGAACAGACACTTGTCAAAAGAAGACATTTATGCAGCCAAAATCACATGAAAAAATGCTCATCATCACTGGCCATCAGAGAAATGCAAATCAAAACCACAATGAGATACCATCTCACACCAGTTAGAATGGCAATCATTAAAAAGTCAGAAAACAACAGGTGCTGGAGAGGATGTGGAGAAATAGGAACACTTTTACACTGTTGGTGGGACTGTAAACTAGTTCAACCATTGTGGAAGTTGGTGTGGCGATTCCTCAGGGACCTAGAACTAGAAATACCATTTGACCCAGCCCTCCCATTATTGGGTATATACCCAAGGGATTATAAATCATGCTGCTATAAAGACACATGCACACGTATGTTTATTTCGGCACTATTCACAATAGCAAAGACTTGGAACCAACCCAAATGTCCAACAATGATAGACTGGATTAAGAAAATGTGGCACATATACACCATGGAATACTATGCAGCCATAAAAAAGGATGAGTTCATGTCCTTTGTAGGAACATGGATGAAGCTGGAAACCATCATTCTCAGCAAACTATCGAAAGGACAAAAAACCAAACACCACATATTCTCACTCCTAGGTGGGAATTGAACAATGAGAACACATGGACACAGGAAGGGGAACATCACACAACGGGGACTGTTGTGGGTTGGGGGAGCGGGGAGGGATAGCATTAGGAGATATACCTAATGAAATGACGAGTTAATGGGTGCAGCACACCAATATGGCACATGTATACATATGTAACAAACCTGCACATTGTGCACATGTACCCTAAAACTTAAAGTATAATAATAATAAAAACAAGAAAAAAAAGAGATATGTAATAGAGAAGAAAAATAAACCGTTTTTATATACACTATTTGTATGTTAATTATAAACCGTGGCAGTAAAAGCTTTCCGAACATTGGCAAGAAAAGCTGAAAAATTGTTGGTCTTCCTTACATTCTCTTGAAATTCTGCTAGGCCCTCAAGATGAGGGGCACTATCTGACACTAGAAAAAAAAAAAGAAATCAAAGACAATTAGAATGAGTTTTTTTATGGCACAGAAGTATTTCTAATCTAGATGCTCTCATCTGGTTTGAATGTCAATTCCATCTTAATGAAATTCTTTGAGCAAAAAAGGATACACTTGATTTTCCTATGCCAAATATCTTTTGGACCTTTCCTTCGTTTAATCTCTAAATATTCAAATCTTAAGTACTATAATCTTGCTTTAAATTTAAACAGATGGCACTGAAGGATCGAAGAGTTTAGTGACACAGAATGACCCTGCCCATCATCTTAAACTTATATATTTTGTTTTAACTATTTAAACTTTTTTTAAAAACTGTTAAGTCATTTTTATCTGCAACACTTTGGTCTGACTGACTTTTCATTTCTGACCACTGGAATTAAAAAAAAAAAAGGAACAATTTTCTTTTTTTTTGAGACAGATTCTTGATTTGTCACCAAGCCTGGAAGTACAGTGGTGAGATCCCAGCTCACTGCAAACTGCCTCCTGGCTTCAAGCAATTCTTTTGCCTCAGCTTTCTGAGTAGCTGGGATTAAAGGTAACATGTCCAGCTAACTTTTGTATTTTCAGTAGAGGCAGGGTTTCACCATGTTACCCAGGCTAGTCTTGAATTCCTGACCTCAAGTGATCCGCCTGCCTCTGCCTCCCAAAGTGCTGGGATTACAGGCGTAAGCCACCATGCCCAGCCTGAAAAAAGAACAGTTTTCAATGCCCAGCCTTAATAACTTACAATTATGAAAGAAATATCTAGAATTTTCCAAGTGAAATGGCAGGCATTAGAAAATGTGGTTGCTATTCCAAGAGTGGTATTTACAGGGGCTATTAATCAAATGAGACTCAAAGTCACGAATAACAGTATTGTCCTTGTATGTAGTTGTACCAGCTGGTACACTGGGACAAGTCTCCAGTGAAGGTGGTCAAAGGAAAAGAAATTCACCCATTATCAGATTTCCAGCTCTCTTGTACAGATTGCTTAGGAAACAAGGTCCATGACCACAGCAGAGAAACAACAGCAAAGGGCATCTGGTCCAAAATGTATCCTGTATATTCTATTTTAATATACTATCATGTACTATCAGATTATACCATAAGAGAATATCCAATTTAGAGAAAATTGAAAAGCTAAATAAGAGGTTTTTGGGGCTTGCTTTTTAAAATCTAGCACTAATTAGATTGGAAGATATTTATCTAGAGAGAAAAAAACCCAAACATCTGTATAAGAAATCAGATTCTCAAAATATAAATTCCCCAGAAATAGGAACTGAGTCACCAGGGCACAGCGCTGTGCCAGCTCAGCAGTTCACCTGAGTGTCTGTCAGCTACAAAGGCTTTAAGATGATAGCATAGGTGTAATGAGCTGAGAACCATTTTTATGAATTCCAATAAATTAAGGATTACTTGTACAGGGGCATTAGAAGAATAAACAAGAGATAAATATATTTCTATTCTCTTCTTGTTCACATTATTATCAATAATATATATTCCTTATAAATCAAAGGCCTTTTGGCCAGCTGCAGAATCAGTAACTAACCTTTATTATCAATGTGTGAGATTTGCAGGATTCGTATTTCAAAAATTATTTTTGGGAAAATAAATTGTTAAATTCTGGTGACTTTACATTTGATTTTAAAATCATCTACTTGGATAAATTCTAATATTCACATTTAAGCAGCCATTTTCTTTAAAGCTTCACCTTTTAAAAAAGTTATCTAAAAGGACAATTCATATTTGCACATAAATGCAATGATCTTTGTTTTTAGATTGTTCAGACACTGTGGCACTGTGCCATCCTGAAGAGATGCTACTTATTAAGGATCTTAGACAGTATCTATAAATCAAGACTATATTCACTTCCTTTAGAAGACTATACTCCAAGAAGCAAGACTGAAAAAGGAAGCAATAGAGTCTGGAGCTATTACTTTCCTCCATATTACTTTATATGCTGATTGAAATAACATTTTGGAACGCCAATCTTAAATACCAGTTAGGAGATATTAGTACATACCTTCATAGTCCCTTGCTTCATTGAGATGTAAGGAAAACATAAATGGGCTCTCAGGATTCTTAGGGTCAATATTAGTGAAAATAAACTGCAATTTCTCACCTGAAAAGAGATTAAACTATTTAGTGTGTCAAAGCTTTCAATGGAGATACCCTTTCTTACTCCATCTTTGATCAATATCTGCACTGCTAAGTATATACAGTCATGTAACCAACATTTCCAAATGCAGAAGTTACAAATTCGTTTTAAAATATATTATAGTTTCAATATGACATCAAAAATACAGTCAACAAAAGAAAAACTAGATAAATTGGACTTTGTTAAAATTAAAAACTTTTGTCCTTCAAAGAACACTATCAAGAGAAGGAAAAGACAACCTAAAGAATGGGAGAAAATATTTGCAATCATTTATCTGATAAAGGTTGAATACATAGAATGTATTTAGAACTCCTGCAACTAAAAACCACCCAATTCAATAATGGGCAAAAAATCTGAAAGGACATTTCTCCAAAGAATATATAAAAATGGCCATTAAGTCCACAAAAAGATGCTCAACATCATTAGTCATTATGTAAATGCAAGCCGAAACTACAATGAGATACCATTTCATACCCAGTAGGATGGCAAATAAATAAATGGAAAATAACAGTGTTGGTGAGGATGTGGAGAAACTGGAACCCTAGCACATTGCTGGTAGAAATGTAAAATGGTACAGCCACTGTGAAAAACAGTTTGGCAGATCCTCAAAAAGTTTAAATACAGAATTACAATATGACCCAGCAATTCCACTCCTAAGTATAGAGCTGAAAGAATTGAAAACGGAGACTCAAGTAGATAACTGTATGCCAATGTTCATAGCAGCATTATTCATAGTAGCCAAAAAGTGGAAATAACCCAGTGCCCACCAACAGATGAATGGATATAGTACACACATACAATGGAACATTGTTCAGCCATAAAATGGAATGAACTTGGCTGCTGTGGTCTTTTTTATGATTCACTAGGAGAACTCATAGGATTCACTCAGCAGCATATGGCCATACTCAGGGCTATGATTTATTACAGCAAAAGGATATAGCGAAATCAGCAAAGGGAAAAGGTACATGGAGTAAAGTCCAAGGAGAACCAGGCATAAGCGTCCAGAACCTCTAATGAGCTTCCTGGTAGACAACACTTCACGTGTGTTGTCACAATTTGATGCTGAAGGAATTAGCACATCCTGTTTGACTCTACTGGGTTAGCACTCTTGAAAGCTTGTGCCAGGTTTCCTGTAGACTTTGCCCCACGTGCTATTGTTTCTTTGCTGATTCTGTTCTGTATCCTTTTGCTGCAGTAAATCTTAGCTATGAATATGACTATATGCTAATTCCTTCTAGTGAATCACCAAACCTGAGAGTGATCTTGGGAAGCCCAGACACAACAGACATTGCCATACATTAGCGATGTACATGTGATATACATGCAACAGGCATCAAAATATTCATGTGTTTTAGCCTACTAATTCCTCTCTGGGAAACAATTCTATGAAAAACCATGCAAAGAAAATGGGAAAGTCTATGCTCACTGGTTTACAATAGTCCCCCTTTATCCACCAGGGAGAAATATGTTCCAAGACCCCAACAGATGCCTGAAACCGTAGATAGTAGCAAACACTATGTAAACAGATGCTCCTTGACTTACAATGGCATTATGTGCCAATAAACACATCAAAAGTCAAAAACATTGTAAGGCAAAAATGCATTTAACACCCTGATAAACTGATTATAAAGTCAAAAAATTGTAAGTTGAACTATCATAAGTCAGGGACTGTCCATACTATGTATTTTCCTATACATTCATACCTATGATAAAGTTTATGTTGTAAATTAGGCACAGAAAGAGATTAACAACAACTAATAATAAAACAGAACAATTACAACAACGTACTGTAATAAAAGTTATATTAATGTAGCTTCTCTCCCTCTCACAATATCTTATTGTACCATACTCATCCATTTAATATCATCAGACCACGGTTGAACATGGGTAACAGAAACCGTGAATAAGTGGGGATGACTGTATTTCTAAAACTGAAAAAAATGGCAGAATCCAAATGTTGGTAGAAGCAAAATATGTGCTAAACAATAGGTAAATGGTTGAATAAATTATGCTATATTAATAGAATGAATTATTACATCACTACTTAAAAATTACCATTATGAAGACTATAGCAACTGAGGAAATGCTCAGAATACAATGCTGATAGGAAGAACAAAAATTATTTGCATGTTGACAATCATGCCAAAAATACATTTATTAAAATACCGAATGATAAATAACTACAGCATCAGTAGCTACATTAGAATAATTTAAAAATTGTAATTTTTTCCTATTTTCTAAAAAGTTAATGTGGTCATTATTTTAGTTGAAAATATTTTTAAAATTTTCCTCTACTTAAGAAAAGACATACTTTTGTAATCTCCTATATTTTATTTATATTAACAAACTTACCATAAATTTTTCGAATTTCTAGTCCAAGTCGATCTTTATACAAGTCTGCAGATTTCTGCAGCCTTTTCAACCTCTCTGCATTCGCTTTATTAGCAGTAGAAATAGCTGATTAAAAAACACACACAATATTAAATGTTTTAAATAATAGCAAATTAATGCTCACTGAGTTAATTTTTTAAACTTAAAATCAACTATAAAATGATGCCAAGCCTATAAATCTGCTTCCATTTATTGTTTCTATATCTACCAGTTGGCTAAAAGAAGCTTCTGTTCATTCAAGTTGGAAGGAAAAACTGCTCAGGAAAATGTATACAGATAGTGAGAAGAATAAGCCTTGTCTTACTTTATTATGTAGTAGCATAAGTAAATAGGCCAGGGATTTGTATGGCTGGCATAGAAATAGACTTCATTTATACTACTGTGCTTTTTTTCTAGATAACCAATTGCTTCATGGGAAAATGTTCTCTTCCTTTAACATAACTATTTCTTATGAGAGGTCAGCCTTATTTCATGCTAGTTTAGTTTTTTCTTTTTTTTTTTTTTAAGTTAGCACAATAGTCCCTAAATATACTTTAAAGTAGCACAATAGTCCCTAAGTAATGAGAAAAATAATTTCACAATTTAGACTTGGATAAGAACTCCACAAGAAAAAGCATTTACAAAACAAACTTTGCTATTTTCAGATTTGAAGAATAGACTACCTAGTTTGTGAGCAAACAAGGCTCCTTTCTAAAAGATGCATTCATTTGAATATGAAAGTTCTTTATACATAAGAGATTTTGCAGCATAAAAAGAACGCTTAACATTACCTGGCAGAGAATGTATGGTCAATAAATATTTGTTGCATAAAGTACACTATGGCTTGTCCAAAGCAAATTTTATTTAGGGACACCATTTCTCACTCTGCTTAATTAAAACCTCCTATCAATTTCATTATTACTGATTATATTAAAAATAACAAGAGAAGGCCCTTTAAGTAAGACAAAAGAAAATAAAACCCAGTTAGTTAACTTTAATGACATCTTGCAGAGATGAGTGGCTGGTTATGCCCTGGGGTACTGTAATCCATTTTTAGCAATGAACTGGAACAGGCAAGATGTACTTAATAAAGGTGAACCGTCACCACTTTCCATTTTAGATCAGTATGTTTATAAGAGGAAACTTACTTTCCTTCTTCCTAGAATATTCTTCCTTAAGATCCTGGATATTTGCAGTCAGTACTTCCAATTCCTGCTTTTTGCCTTTTACTTCAGCAATCAATTTTAACAAGTTATCCTTTTTTTCTTGAATGAGCTTATTTTGCCTGCTGATCTCTGTAAGAAGCACAAGGTATTAGCTAGAATATGCTTGGCTCTCTGACATGTATCTAAGAAAAGGCCAAAGTTTACTGACTTTCATAAAGATTAATAAAGAATGTTTTGACTGATAAGCATTTTCTAATGATTCAAAATTATAAAAGACAAAAAAGAAAAAAAACCTAATCTATTCTTTCCTACTTACTCATCTTTAAAAAAAATGAGACAGAAAAGCTTCTTAAAATGAGAATACCAAATTAAATCAAGAAACAGAAAATCAAAAGATCATGACCCTTGCAGCTCCCCACTCCAAATAAGCACAGAAATAAAAACTACCAACAAAGATAACTAAACTCTATTATTTATTTTATTTTTATATTTTTTTGAAACAGGGTCTCACTGTTGCCCAGGCTGGAATACAGTGGCACAATCACTACTCATTGCAGCCTCCCACCTTAGCATCCCTAGTACCTGGGACTACAGGCACACACCACATCACGCCTGGCTGATTTTTAAATTTTTTTGTCTCACTATGTTGCCCAGGCTAGTCTCAAACTCTTAGGCTCAAGCAATCCTCCTACCTCAGCCTCTCAAAGTGCTGGGATTACCAGTGCAAGCCACCACGCCTGGCCAACAACCAAACTCTAGAAGATGGTTTTAAACAGTGCTTTGAGGAAAAGCCTCACTCTAATGCTATATAAATTATTCCGGAACATACCAAAAGACAGAAATAAGTGAAGGAAGACAGGTGGGCAGGCAAAGCTTACAATGTAAGCATAATTCTAAAGCTAAAACAAAAAATTAAAGATAGCACTGGCCCTCTGCCCACAACTATATAAACTAATCTCACTTAAAAACATAGGTGCAAAGATGCTCAATAAAATATTAAGTTACATTAAAAATAATCCACTAAGAGCAAATATAGTTTATACCAAGGATTTTACATAGTGAAGGTGTAATATTAGGAAAATCCATCACATGAATAAGAATTGAAGAGACATTTCATATGAATTCAGCATCCACTCCTGACTATTCTTAACTATAAATGGAAGGACATTTAACATGATAGAAACAAATCAAAAACCTTTCAAATCTCATCATATATATTTGGCATTTCCAAAAGGAATAAAATAGATGCCAGTTAGCACTGTTATTTAATATTTCCCTAGAAGTTTCTGGCCAAGACAAGATATTTAGCTGGTAAAACTATAAGGAAAAAACAAGAACTATTTTTCATTATATGTAGACAATAGACATCTATCTAGAATACTCAGAAAAATCTACTGAAAACCTATCAGAATTTGTGGTACTACACCCCAAAAAAATCAATAGTTTTTGTACATAACACCAGTGATTAATACATAGGTAAGAATAGATGTTTATACTAATATTAATAGCTGCAATATTCGTTTTTGTTCTTTGTTTTTATTGGTTTTATTAGTTTTTGCTATTCTGTGCTATTTTTAAGTACTGGCATACGTTGGAGATATTGCAAGTTCTATTCCAGATCACTGTGATAAAGCGAATATTGCCATAAAGCAAGTCACACAAATGTTTTGGTTTCCCAGTACATAGAAAAGTTATTTTACACTATATTGTAGTCTATTAAGCGTGCAATAGCATTATGGCTAAAAAACAAATGTACATATCTTAATTAAAAATATTTTATTGCTAAAATATGCTAATAATCATCTGAGCCTTCAGCAAGTCCTAAACTTTTGCAGGGGGAGGGTCTTGCCTTGATGTTGATGGCTGCTGACTGATCAGAGTGGTAGCTGCTGAAGGTTGGGGTGGCTGTGGCAATTTATTATAATAGGACAACAATAAAGTTTGCTGCATTAATCAACTCTTTCATGAAAGATTTCTCTGCAGCATACAATGATGTTTGACAGCATTTACCCCTGGTAGAACTGTTTTCAAAATTGGAGTCAGTCTTCTCAAACCCTGCGCTACTTTATCAACTAAGTTTATATAATAGTCTAAATCCTTTGTTGTCAGTTAAACAATGTTCACAGCATCTTCACCAGGAGTGGATTCCATTCCATAAAACCACTTTCTTTGCTTATCCATAAGAAGCAACTCCTTATCCATTCAAGTTTTATCTGAGATGGCAGCAATTCGGTCACATCTTCAGGCTCCACTTCTAAATCTAGGTCTCTTGTGATTTCTACCACATCTGTAGTTACTTTCTCCATTGAAGTCTTGAACCTCTCAAAGTCATCCATGAGGGTTAAAATCAACTTCTTCCAAGCTCTTGTTCATGTTGATATTTTGACCTCTTCCTGTGAATCACGAATGTTCTATGGCATCTAGAATGGTGAATCCTTTCTCTGGAAGGTTTTCAATTTATTTTGCCCAGATCTATCAGAGTTAATCACTATTTGGGTAGCTATAACCTTATTTCTTAAATAATGAGACATGAAAGTCAAAACTACCCCTTGATCCATGGGCTGCAGAATGGATGTTGTCTTAGTAGGCATGAAAACAACACTAATCTCCATCAGCGCTCTTGAGTGACCAGATGCACTGTTAATGAGCAGAAATATTTTGAAAGCCATCTTTTTTCCTGAGTAGAAGGCCTCAACAGTGGGCCTAAAATATTCAGTAAACTATGCTATACACACATGTGCTGTCATCTAGGCTTTGCTATTCCATTTATAGAACATAGGCAGAGTAGATTTAGTATAATTCTTAAGGGCCCTAGGATTTGGGGAATGGCAAGTGAGCACAGGCTTCAACTTAAAGTCACCAGGTGCATTAGTCACTAAAGAGTCAGCCTGTCTTTGAAGCTTCAAAGCAGGCCTTGACTTCTCTCTAGCTATGAAAGTCCTAGATGGCATCTTCTTCCAATAGAAAACTGCTTTTTCATCTACATCAAAAATCCGTTCTTTAATGATCTGTTCATTCAATGATCTTAGCTAGATAACTTGCTGTAGCTTCTACATTAGCACTTCTGCTTCATCTTGCATTTTTATTTTATGGAGGCAGCTGCTTTCCTTAAACCTCAAGAACCAACTTCTGCTAGCTTCAAACTTTTCTTCTGAAACTTCCTCATCTTTCTCAAGCCTTCACAGAATTGAAGAGGGCTAGAGTCTTACCCTGAATTAGGCTTTTGCTTAAGGGAATGTTGTGGTTTGTTTGCTCTTCTATTAAGGCCACTAAAATTTTCTCTAACAATAAGGCTGTTTCTCTTTCTTATCATTCGTGTGTTCACTGAATTAGCACTTTTGCTAATTGGCGCAAGAGGCCAAGCTTTCAGCCTATCTCAGCTTTTGACACACTTTCCCACTAAGCTTAATCATTTCTAGCTTTTGATTTAAAGTGAGAGACCTATGACTCCTTCTTTCAGTTGAACAATTAGAGGTCACTATAGGGTTATTAATTGGCCTAATTTCAATACTGGAGACTAGGGAGGCCCAAGGAGAGGAAGAATGACAGGAATGGCTGGTCAGCAGAGCAGTCAGAAGTCATTCAACATTTATCCATTAAGTTTGTCATCTTATATGGGTGTCATTCATGGCACTTAAAACAATTACAATAGTAACGTCAAAGATCACTGATCATAGAGCACCACAAGAAATATAATAATGACAAGTTTGAAATCTTGTGAGAATTACCAACATGTGACAGATACGAAGTCACCACATGCTGATGGAAAAATGGTGCCCACAGACTTGCTTGACACATGGTTGCCATTAACCTTTAATTTGTAAAAATTGCAATATCTGTAAAGTGCAATAAAGTGAAGTGCAATAAAACAAGGTATCCATGTACCAAAATACTGGCCTTTTACATCTGTCTCACATATTGGCCAGCACCTCATTACTCCTTCTTGGCTTTAATCTCTCTACCTTCCCTGCCTTCCCCATGTCCCTGTCACTCTCTGTACAAGTTCTTCTTGCCCTAGCCCTCTTAAACACTCAGCTTCTGCAACTACCCACCCCTTTCTCACACACATGCTCAAAATAAAAACAACAATGCCTGTGCATAAACCTGGCCAAACCTCTCTGCTGGGAAAGGAGTAACCCTGGCAGGACCACTTCTTCCTCTGTTTGTTGGAAGAAAGATACAACCGCTGCTACTTGGGGCCCATTGCACAGAGATGGTGTCCCCAAAATGCCAATCAGGGGGCTAGACAAAGCAGGAAGGCACAAAAAGCATAAGAGCTCTAGGGCAGAGGCTACTGAGGTCAAATAAGCAGAGCCAGTAGAGCTCAAGTGGTGCTTTATAATGTGCTTATGAATTTCTGAATTAAAGATTTAGTTTTACTAATACTTAAATGAAATCTAAACACTTTAAAATCGAATGCCAATTAATGCCAGTAGTCTAGAATTGTATCAAATAAACCAAACTATCTATACTGTCATTTAATTCCAGTATCATAATTACAAGTAAATATGTGCTCCAAGGATGAGTAATCTTTTTCTCAAAGTTAAACAAGTTAGTCCATCACTGAATTTATGAAGACTTTAAATACCATAAATCTTCAAAAGAGAAATACACTATGATATGTTTCCCAAATTGAAGTGAGCATGGAATTCTCAGTGCTTGAACAACATCTCTCAAGACAAGCATTCCTCAGGCAACAGGAAAATCTCGTTTACAGAGGTAACAAACAGAAAATTCAGAATCAACCTAGATCAAGAAATATGTAGGCTCTGTTTGAAAAAAACTGCAAAGCTTGTCTGAGACACATATTTGATCTGGATATATGAAGAGATATTTTATGCTTCTAAATATTATAAAAGATATGCCAAACAAACGTTGGCAGTTAGGAAGTTAATATGATAAATGAAATATCAAATCAATGTTCAAGAGGTAGATTATTCTCTAAACAGTGCCGAAATCCAAAATAAATTCTTTAGTCTTTTACTACTTTTTTAAAAGAAGAGGAAAAACACTCAGCAGTTCAGTAACTTGCCCAAAGCTGTATTTGCTAGGCTAAAATAAATAATAAGGGCCAGGCATGGCGGCTCACGCCTGTAATCCCTGCACTTTGCAACGCTCAGGCTGGCGGATCATGAGGTCAGGAGATCGAGACCATCCTGGCCAACATGGTGAAACCTCGTCTCTGCTAAAAATACAAAAATGAGCTGGGCGTGGTGGCGTGTGCCTGTAATTCCAGCTACTAGGGAGGCTGAGGCAGAATAGCTTGAACCAGGGAGTCGGAGGTTGCAGTGAGCTGCGATCACGCCACTGCACTCCAGCCTGGTGACAGGGCGAGACCCTGTCTCAAAAATAAATAAATAAATAAATAAACAGACAGACAGACTGCATTCAAACTCAGGTCTTGACTTCAAAGGCAATGCTTTGCCCATTAAATTATCCTCCTCCAACAATGGGTTACCATTTTAATCTCAAGAGGAAGACACAAATACAAATTCCTAAGAAAAAAACAGACAAAGGGATAAACAGATGAAACACAGAATGCAGATGGCTAATAAATATGAAAGATAATTTAACCTCAGATTAATCACAGAAATGCAAGTAAAACAGTAAGATTTCAATTTTCATTTATTACAACAATGTTTACAGAAATAATTACTAATATTGAGAGGAATGCAAAATGCTAGGGTCCTTCTAGAAAATATTTTTGACATTGTAAAATAAAAGAGCCTTAAAAATATTTACCTCCTTTGACCCAGCAATTTCATTTTTACAAAGTTACCCTAGGGAAATAGGATACGTGCAAATATTTATATATAAAAATTATTTTTCAGTATTTATAATGAAAAACTGAAAACATCTTCAATGGCTAACAAGCAAATGATTTTTAAAATATGGTATATCGATAAGATGGAATGTATTTTCAAAACAATTTAGCAATGTGGGAAAATATTCTCAAAGTTGAAAAAAAAAGATAGTTATATAGATACCATGAATATAATTACGTTAAAAACCTACATAGCTCATGAAAAACAAAAGCTAGAAAGTTGTTTTGTTAAATATGGTTCTCAACATTACAGGTGATATTTTTTGCTTTTCTGTATGTTCTAAGAATATGAACATGATCATATATTACGTCAAGTATAATTTAAAAATAAACATCTTACTAGAAAGAAAAATGCTACTATTTAAAGAAAAAAATTAAGTAGAATTGTACTACACAAGAAATTCAGATTGAAAGTCAAAGGTCTCAAGTCTGATTCAGCTTATCAGTTCTTACCCAAAGATCTCGGTCAAAATCACGACTTCTGAAACTCTTTTGCTCATTTGTAAAATGGGGATAACATTGGCTACCTCATTCACTGGGGTTAGAGTATCCAGTAATAATAATACAAAAACTTTTAAACTAGTGACACATAAATACCACATATGAGAGTGTTTTTATTATAACATTTGAAGAACTGTGTGATTTGTGGCCAATACAAATATAGGAGTCCTCGATGCTGTATGACCATTTTTTTTTCTTTTTTTTTTTTTGAGATGGAGTCTCGCTCTGTCGCCAGGCTGCAGTGCAGTGGTGCAATCTCAGCTCACTGCAACCTCCGCCTCCTGGGTTCAAGCAATTCTCCTGCTTCAGCCCCCTGAGCAGACAGGACTACAGGCACTCACCACCACGCCCAGCTAATTTTTATATTTTTAGTGGAGATGGGGTTTCACCATGTTGGCCAGGATGGTCTTGATCTTTTGACCTCGTGATCCGCCTGCCTCGGCCTCCCAAATTGCTAGGACTACAGGTGTGAGCCACTGCACCTGGCCTGCTGTGTGACTATTATTACATGTGTACATAGCAGGCTGTCTTATTCCCAGGACCGACATTTCAAACTTTCACTCCTACACACCAGAGGAACCCTTCTTTGCATTTTCACTCCAATGCACGTCAGTATAGCACAATGGAAAGAGCACAGACACTATCATTGTGATCCTAGATCCTCTATTTACCTTAGGCAAGTTTCTTAACCTCAGTGAGCTTCAATTTCCTCATCTGTAAAACAGGGATAATCTCTGTCTTAGACAGACTTCAGGATTTATAATAATGTAAAAGCCTGCCCATAGTAAATACCTCTCACTTTCAATAGATGATCTTCCTTCTTGTGATAATTAGAATTTATGGCTCCAGAACTTTAGGCTATTTTGTTCTCTGCAGTATCTTCCTAGAAGATTACCTGGTATACAGCAGTAGCTCAACAAGTATTTGGTCAGTGAATGAATTCCTTCCATCTTTCTTGTTCCCAAAATATCTATCTCAATCTTTACCTTACTGGATCTACCTGTGACTTACAGTGTTAACAACACCCTTTATTATTTCTCTCCTCTTTTAGTTTTGGTGACCTTCTCTCTTACTTCCTCTGTTCTCCAATTACGAATTCTGTCTTTCCTGGTCGTTTCCATTTAACTCTCTCAAATTGGAGAGGAAATGTAATGCTCTGAAGATGAGTAAGGCTTCTGGAGTTAATCTGATGATCTGGGGCAAATCATAATCTCTCTGGGACTGCAATATCAGAAAAGTAGGAATAATAATAATAAATGATACCAACCCTGGAGAACTATCATGAGGACTGAAGGAGGTGGTCAATGTAAGGCATTTAGCACAGTACCTGGCACACAGTAATGAGTAAATAAATATTATTACTAACCAAGGCTACCTTCTTTCACTCTACATATTCTTCCACAGCTTCAACCCCCTAAATACACTAAAGACTCACAAATCCCTATCTTCAGCAAAGACCACTTTTCTGGCTGGCTTCCAGATGAATATATCCATTGCCTATCAGATATCGCCACCTGAAGACTTGCTGCACAATAAACTCAGCATATTCACCCAACATGTTTAAAATTGAACCCACATATGTTTCCTTCCCACCTATAAAAACATGCTCCTCCTCTCTTTCAATCCCTCACTTAGTAAATGCATCACCACTGATTCATACTCCATGTCAGAAGGAATCATCCTAGACCACAGCATACTCTCACCTTCAGGCCCACAGTCTTGAGTCTAACTCTTCAGACCTGTCACTGGTCCAAGCCATACTCATTATGTGCCTGTACTATTACACTAAATTTTTCCTTTAACTGGTCTCTTTATGGACAACAATCTCACTCCCCTCCTGTTTATTGTGCATGATTACTAGATTGCTTCTTCTGGCATATAAATCCAATATCATTTTCCAGGTTGAAATCCTGTAGCAACTCTTTATCTCCTGAAAAACAAAGTCTAACCCCCTTTGCACAACATGGAATGTCCATCATCTGGCCAACGAGTTCTTCCAGCCACTTCTCCACCACTCCCCATCCACAGGGTACTCTAGCCATCCCAGAACTTAACAAGCTCTCATGTTCCTGCCATATTCCATGTGCTGTTCCCTCTTCCCAGAATGTAATGCTGACTCTGTTGAACATCCCTAACCCTCCTTTATGTGATTTTCTCCAAAGTAGTGTGGTATAATCAGACCGCAGGTTCAAATCATATTTCTGTTCATTATCAGCTATCTGACCTTGAGAAAGTTGCTTAACCTCTCTGTGCTTATTTTGTCATAAAAAAGCAGTATCTATACCTCTTAGGGTTGTTGTGAGGATTCATGAGTCAATATATGCAAAGAGCTTAGAACAGGGCTTAGCACATGGTATACAAGGTAATGGTTAGCTATTAAATATCCTGCATTCCTCACTGGAAGAACCAAACCCTCCAGATTCTATCCTCACACAGCATCTATTACATTATTCTAACAACGAATACAATCTTTTTTTTTTTTTTTTTTTTGGAGACAGGGTCTCACTCTGTCGCCCAGGCTGGAGTGAAGTGGCATGATCACGGCTCACTGTAACCTCAATCTCCTGGGCTCAAGCGATCCTCCTGTCTCAGCCTCCTGAGTAGCTGGGACTACAGGTGCCCACCACCACACCTGGCTAATTTTTCCTTAATTTTTATTGAGACAAGGTCTCACTATATTGCCCAGGCTGGTCTTGAACTCCTGGACTCAGGCAATCCTCCTGCCTCAGCCTCCCAAAGTGCTGGGATTACTTTGGCTTGAGCCATCGAGCCTGGAACAATATATTTTAATTGTGGTTTCCCTATCTATATCCCCCACAATATTGTGAGTAGATTATACTTTATGCACTGTTGTCTCCTTAGTGGTGGGCAATAGCAGTCATATGTTCATTGAATTAATTAAACTTGAGTAAACTGTATTTCTGTTCAAGTATAAACTGATTTCTTTTTTTTTTTTTGAGATGGAGTCTTGCTCTGTCGCCCAGGCTGCAGTGCAGTGGCGCGATCTGGGCTCACTGCAAGCTCCGCCTCCCAGGTTCACGCCATTCTCCTGCCTCAGCCTCCAGAGTAGCTGGGACCATAGGCGCCGGCCACCAGGCCCAGCTAATTTTTTGTATTTTTAGTAGAGACAAGGTTTCACCGTGTTAGCCAGGATGGTCTTGATCTCCTGACCTCGTGATCCGCCCGCCTCAGCCTCCCAAAGTGCTGGGATTACAGGCGTGAACCACCCCGCCCGGCCAAGTATAAACTGATTTTTAAAAGAAAAATATTGATAATGCTTTTAGATTTTAGACTATATAGAGCATAACTTCATACTATAGATAATCTTTAAGAGCACAGTTTGAGACTCACAGCAGTAAAACTGACAGTTCCAAACTTAATTTTCTAATGCCTAGGGATCCTACAAAGAAGTTTTAAAGAACCCAAACTCAATATCACTCTTTCACACACACATGCAAACAAAAGTGGTTTTCTTTTTTGCTTATGGTTACAGAGGGAATGAGAGAAGCAGTGAAGGGCATGGAAGCTTCAGGGCAGATTAGAAAGTAAACATGGGTAGGCCGGTTGCAGTGGCTCATGCCTGTAATCCCAGCACTTTGGGAGGCCAAGGTGGGCAGATCACCTAAGGTCAGGAGATTGAGACCATCCTGGCTAACACGGTGAAACCCCATCTCTACTAAAAATACAAAAAATTAGTGGTGCGTGGTGGTGCGCACCTGTAGTCTCAGCTACTTGGGAGGCTGAGGCAGGAGAATCACTTGAACCCAGAAGGCAAAGGTTGCAGTGAGCCGAGATCATGCCACTGCACTCCAGCCTGGGCAACAGAGCGAGACTCCATCTCAAAAAAAAAAAAAGAAAGAAAGAAAATAAAGAAAGAAAGTAAACATGGGTAAAAGTGTAGCAAATAACCTACTGGGGTAACAAAGTCAAATGCCTTCATGGGCCACACAATGAGTAAAGTGGGTAAGTCAAGGCTACCCATTTTGCAAATGAAAGAACATATGCCCCATGTAAGGACATTCTAGTCTAATATTGTTTAAAACATGGTGCCTTTAAACCAAGTATCTCTAGTGGAATTTGAACTGTGGACACATGTTTGTGTCCTGTGTGTAAGAATTCAGTAAAAACTACTGGTTTACTCTGGACAACCTGGAGAGTAGTAGAAATAAGATGGCAAGAATAGTAGTAAAAATATGGAGAAAAACACTGTCAGAGTACTAACAGAGCTGAGAGAACTCTAGCTTTTCAATCCCCAGGCTGTGATTTCCAACGTGAAAACAAACTCATCTTTTAAAAAATACTGGCATTTATACCTTAACACTGACAAATCTCACAAGTATAGTGCTGAGTGAAAAAATGGACAGAAGACATACAAGAGAATGCCATTTATATAACATTCAAAAACACAATACTAGAGGCCAGGCATGGTGGCTCACACCCGAAATCCTAGCACTTTGGGCAGCCAAAGTGAGCGGACTGCTTGAGCCCAGGAGTTTAAGACCAGCCTGCACAATATGGTGAAACCCCATCTCTACAAAAAATATGAAATTAGCCAGGCATGCTGGTGTGCACCAGTGGTCCCAGCTACTTAGGGGGTGAAGTGGGAGTATCACTTGAGCCGAGGAGGTCGAGGCTGAAATGAGCCTAGATCATGCCACTGCACCCCAGCCTGGCTGACAAAGTGAGACTCTGTCACCAGGCACGGTGGCTCACGCCTGTAATCCCAGCACTTTGGGAGGCTGAGGCAGGCAGATCACGAGGTCAGGAGATTGAGACCGTCTTGGCTAACACAGTGAAACCCTGTCTGTACTAAAAATACAAAAAATTAGCCAGGCGTGGTTGCAGGCGCCTGTAGTCCCAGCTACTTGGGAGGCTGAGGCAGGAGAGTGGCGTGAACCCAGGAGGCGGAGCTTGCAGTGAGCCAAGATCGCGCCACTGCACTCCAGCCTGGGCAACAGAGCGAGACTCTGTCTCAAAGTGAGACCCTGTCTCAAAAAATGACACAAAAAACCCCCACAATACTAAACAATATATTGATAGGTTAGTTGTGGAAGGTGGGAGAAGGTGTAACATAGGATGTTCTTTCTTAAACTGTATAGTATGTCAATGTTTATTCCTATATATAAGCACATGTATATGTGTTAATGTGTATGTATTTGTGTGTGTATGTGTCTATATATATGTATATATATATATTTTAATTTTTAATTTTTTTTTTAAATCTTTTGTAGAGACAGGGTTTCACCATGTTGCTTGGGCTGGTCTTCAACTCCTGAGCTCGAGGGATCCACCCAACTTGGCCTCCCAAAGTGTTGGGATTACAGGCATGAGCCACTACATGTACGTGTGTGTGTGTGTGTGTGTGTGTGTGTGTGTGTATATATATATATATACACACACACATATATATGTATATATATACACATATATGTATATATATACACATATATATACATATATATATACACATATATATACATATATATATACACATATATATACATATATATACACATATATATATACACACACACAACATATACACACTTGTGTACACAAAATACATTGTCTTACTTGTATGAGAGATTTCATGATAAAGATGTTTTATCTAAAAAAAACCCCATGATTTATACTTTTTCACATACGATTTTGATATTCCAGAAACATCTCAACCATTCGTTCTTCTTCCTTTAATTTCACAGACAGCTTTTCTGAAAGAGAAATTGAACTTTCAATTCAGCTGCAATAACACTAAAAAATAAACTAGAACAGCAAAACCAGCATGTTACAAGTTAACACTAGGTACCTGCAAATGCTTTGATGGAATCCTTGTAGGTATCTCTTAGTCCCGCCATCTGACAGGAGGTGTCCGTACTTTTGAATTTATTCCAAAATTCATTTATGCTTTTATCGAAAAGTGCCAGTTCGTCCTCTACCATTATGTAGGACAATGCTAAAAACAGAATACATATTGCATTTTTTAAGTTACTGAAATCAAATCACCCACATATTCCAATCGGGTATACAGTATTTTGGCAATTTGTCCTTTGCTAGAAAATAGCAACTTATCTTTAATTCTAGGTATTCAAGGGTAGATCAAGCCACCTGGGCTTAACTGTTGTTAACGTGCAGCAATAATTCAGGACACCTTTACCTCCTAGCAGCTTGTTAGTAGGTAAGTGTAACTGCACAGGACACTCACACGCACTATGACCCTGGGTCCATTTTCTCACAAGTAAAACTGTTGACTTCTGAAACCCCTGATCCAACTCTAACCCTTTCTGAACAGAGATCATCAGGATAGCCAGGTGGCCGGCACCCTCCCATAGAATAAGACCCCACACATCTATCCTGTCTCTCTCCTCCACCTCAGAACAGTAAAAGTTAACAGTAAAATAGGGACTAAGGTGGGAGTTTAGTAGGTTCCGTCGAGGATGTATACAAGTCACCTCGGGCCTCAGTATCCTCTGTAAAAGGAGGTCCTGGGAGAATCCTGGACCCACCAGTACTCTGCGACGCTAAAACCTTCCCAGGAGGACCAAAGATACCTCCTGCAGTGAAACCCAGAACGCTTTGGGTTCGCAGCTGCCCACCCCACCAGGCTGTGAGGCCCAAACAGCAACAAGATGCGCATTTCACAAACGCCGCCGCAAATACACACATCCCGCCCTCAAATTCACTTTCCCTTATTGCGACAGGGGGGCCAAGGAGCCCAGCTCGGCGCCCAACTCCCTTACCTTCGCAGGCAGGCCTGAGTCCCGCCGCCTTCCCCACACCAGATCCGCGCCCACTCTAGCCAACAGCCGGACTCTAGGCTCAGCTCCCGCAGCCCCGCCAACTTTCCGATTTCAAACCTAGTGCACTTCCCGCCACCCGCCTCCAGGCGCAGGCTGGCCTTCTGATTGGCCGATAGCGCAGGCTCTCCTTGACAGGATTGGTTGAACTCACCCTTGGATTCTCGAGGGGAAAATGGGGGAACAGGGCATTCTGGGATTCGTAGTTCTTTTCTGAACAACAGCCAGAGTCTCCGCTGTGACCCGAAAGTATTAATAGCACCCGAAGGGCTCGCCCACGACAAGTCATTTATCGGCTTCAAATAAAGGTTTCTGGAACAAATACAGATATTGACCTTTAATCGTATCTTTTGCAACAAATACATCCTCTTCTTTGTATTCACCTTGTAAAGTTGACTTCAATTGTGAGTGGGCAGAAACATTCAGATGGTCCTCAGAATAGGTTTTTACTGCTTACAAAAATATTCCTTCTTTTCTACTCCCCCAGCTTCTCTAACAATGTTTTTGAGGCCTAATAGAACACTATGTTACTATCTTGCAGAAGTGGAAGAAACTAGAGCACTATCAAAATCACCTGCTATTTCCTTGAGGACAGGAATGAGGCACAAGGTATTCAACTAGGATTTGCCAGAGTAGACAAGCTGCAGGGAATCAGCGTTGTCCAGAAACTCTGAAAGGTGACATAGATTCGGTATTTGAATCCTTCTTGGTAAAGCTGAGGAAGAAAGAAAACTAGGGAAAGAACCTAGAGAATATGCTTTCTGAAGAATGGAAAATAAAGTTGGCTAAAATAATGAAGTCAAAGTTATTATTTTAATCTTAGACTATGATATGTTTGTGAAAATAAAGCCTCTTATTATACACCAAAAGGTCTTTACTATACTAGTTTCTTTTCATTTTCATCAACAATACAAACACCAACAAGAAGTAAATATGTAAAAAACATTCTCAGAGGACCAGATATTAGCCATTCTTTATCCAAGAACTAAATTAAGACCTATGAAATCAGGACAAGTTATTATGAATATTTAACACTTCACAATATACCCAAAAGTCACCTTGCAGCCTAGAGACTGCTATTAATACAGTTAGACATAGAGTTTACTATGATAAATCTCCTTTCATTTGCAAATATTTTCCCAAGAACTTCTAATTTTATATATCTGATACTATTTACCTTAAAGCAAAATTTTATGAGTTGAGCATCTCAGAATTTCAGCTGATTGAGTGCTGGTACTCATTTTTAGGGTTTTCTCAGTACCAAATTAGTGAAGACAGTATTTAAGAAGATTCATGGAAGAGGGCTGATTTGGTACCATGTTGATGAATTCCTCACTGGGTTTATACACTGGTCTTTATCAGACTGTTCAGTGAAGATTCTTGCTCTCTTTGGGTCTTCAGCTGAGGGGAGTGATTGCCCTACCAATGTGCTGTTTTTAGGGCAGCCTCAGGTTGTCTATTGTTTTTTATTCTGTGAGTGCTCCTCCCCAACCAGGATGTGAGGAAGAAGTTTGTCGTTTGTCAAAATTTTCATTTCTGAAAGACTGGCTGAATAATTTCTCTCTAATCCCCAAGGATAGCTAGAGACAACCAGCTCTTCTTTCTGCTCAGTACACAGAATAGGGCCTTCAGCTTTCTCAGCATTAAAAAGGGGAAAACAGACCCCCCGACCCATTATCATTCACACAACTCCACCATGACCACCACCACCATACTTACATACCTTTCATTTCAAACCAACCAGGGTTTATTGAGTTTCTATTTTGTGCCAGGTACTGAGCTGAGCACTGCCTTCTCTGGGATATACGGTCTGTGACCCAGGGTTGGGTTTCTGCAGGGTGGGGAATAGAAAGATGCCACATGTTCCCAGGCTGGAGGTGTTTCTGGATGGTGGTTATAGTCTTGCTCAGATTGAATGCTCCATTGCTCCTCCCCTGAAAACTTAATTCTTTCTCCAAAGGGTGAATGATAATGGCGTATAAGGATAAAAGATCATTGTCCTCTATTACACATACACTTGCTGGGTAGATACTTTGCATCTTGGGGGGCAGAGCTAAAGATAGGAATGATCGTGAATAATGCCATGGTTTAGACTATAAGTTCCCCACCTGTAAGTATAAGGTTCTCTTTACGACATTCACATTTATGCTGACATTCACATTTATATTTTCAACATCCATTCACTGAGAAAATTGAAAAATTAAAAGTTACTATGAATTCAAAAGAGGAGTCTCTTCTTGCAGATTCCAGGTTGAGGACCTACAATATTGAAAATGAAAAGATTCTTGAACAGAAACTTTCAATCTTCTAGATTTCTGAATGGCCTGTGTCAAACACTGCAATAGATGATTTAAGAAAGCAAGTTTTCTGACAATTGCTATAAAGTACAGTATACAAAGTGGAGTCAATGCCAGGTTACACTTGGACTCTTTCATCTCCTTCCTAGAATTAAAAAAATAAAATAAAATGGAGGAAGGGCTGGGACCTTGTATCAGTCTGTTCTCACATTGCTATAAAGAAACACCTGAGACTGGGTAATTTATAAAGAAAAGAGGTTTAATTGGCTCATGGTCTGCAAGCTGTACAGGAAGAAGAGCAGCATCTGCTTCTAGGGAGGCTTCAGGAAACTTCCAATCATGGCAGAAGGCGAATGGGGAGAAGGTACTTCATGTGCCAAAGCAGGAGCAAGAGAGGTCAGGAGGAGGGGGAGGTGCCACACATTTTTAAATGACCAGATCTCATGAGAACTCACTCACTGTTACAAAGACAGTACCAAGAGGATGGTATTAAACCATTCATAAGAAATCCACCCTCATGATCCAATCCCCTCCCACCACTATGCTGGAGGTCTGATGTGGTTTGGATCTGTGTGGTAGAAGGAAGTCACCAAATTTTATCCCCCAAAAAGAAACTATAAAACTGGACCAAATTATCAAAAACAACAATTTAAGTGACCTGGAAGTTGACTAACAGATTGCAGCAAACTAAGAAGCATTTATTCATGAGAAACTACTCAAAAACATTATGCTAAGTGAAAGAATCCGGGTGCAAAAGACTACATATACTATGATTTAATTTACATAAAATAACCAGAAAAGGCAGATTCCCAGACACAGAGAGCAGTTCAGTTTTTGCATCGGGCTGGGAGCAGACCCAGGCACTGACTGCCAACATGCATGAAGGAACTTTCTGGGGTGCTGGAGATGTTCTGAAACTGGTTTTTGTCAATTACTGGCAACTTTATAAATATACTAAATATAATGAGGAATTATATACTATAATTTATAGTATATAAATTATAACTCAATAAAAGTATTAAAATTAAAAATAAAAGATGAAGGATATCAGAGCTTCAGAGGAAAAAAGACTACATTTCCCAAGCACTGAGAAAACATTCAATATAGTCAGAAAAATATCCAGGTTATTTTTATTATGGTAAAATACTCATAACATAAAATTTACCATCTTAACCATTTTTAAGTGTACAGTAAAAGGATGTTGAGTGTATTCACAGCATTATGGAACCATCACCGCTATTCATCTCCAGAACTCTTTTTATTAAAAACTCTGCCCATCAAATAACAAATCTGTCTTTCCTCCCCTCACACCTTGGCAACCACCATTCTACTTTCTGTCTCTATGAATCTGACTACTCTAGGTACAATTTTTAAATTGTCTCATAAATGTCAAAAATGAGGATTTCTTTTACAGCTTTTAAATACATTAATCAATTAATGTTAATGTCTTTAGGTGTGATAATGGTATTATCTCATTTATATTCTTGAATATTTTTTCCCTTTCATCCTACAGTTTGCATTTCTAAATTCTACTCATATCTCAAGGCCCAGCCACTTGCCATCTCCTCCACAAAAGCTCCCTAATCTCACAGACTGAAAGTTGTCTGCCTTTCCTTTTTTCCATTCACCCTATCTGTTCACCTCTAAGGACACAATGGTATGTGATTTATGTAAATATCATATCTTCCCTACTAGACCACAAGCTTCTTGAGGTCTGATCTATCTCTGTCCTGTGTGGTACTCGTAAGAGTCAGTGTCTAGACTTATGCTTCTCAAAAGTGAGAGGTTCTCCACCCAGCAACATCACCATTATCTGGGAACTTAGAAATACAAAGTCTCAGACCCCACTCTATTTTTAGTGAATCAAAGATTAGGAGTCCCTGAAATCTGTGTTTTAACAAGCCCTTCAGGGGAGTTGGATGAATATTAAAGTTTGAGAGCCACTGCTTTACACAATTTCTCTACACAGTACTTTTTAAGTCATCTATAAAAATGAACACAGCTATACAATATATTAACTCTACTTTGAAGAAAGTTAATAGTACTGCTCAATAGGCAACTCTGTTGGGTCCTTTGGTAATCCAAGAAAAAGTGTATAGATGTATAGGTCATGATCATTTCTAGAGAAAAGTAGCTAAGAAGACTAATGGAGGGGGGTACTTCAAAGAGCTGTAGCAGGGCCATTTATAACAGTGTCATTATGGACTGCCAATATTCCTGGGATGCTAGCCAGACTGAAGGTAATGATTTTCTGAAAGTCACTAGGGTCTAAATTCCATCTGAAATAAATCCATTTTAAATTGCAAGGTGACACTGGAGAGATCTCAAATAGTTTATTTTAGAAAAGGCAGATAAGTTTGTGGTAAAAGGATAATGACCATGCAGAGACATTAAAGGTCAATGCCTACAAAATATATTGTTGTTTACTGCCACCTCATAAGTAACACAAGCTAAAGTCAAATATCTCTGAATGGTGTTGAATTGTAGCAAGCACTATAATCCAGACATGAATGGTTCAATAAGAAATATCTTGTGGTTATATAATATTTGATGTGGTGAAACATATTGGAGAAATTCTATCCTCTGTCCCACTATGTAATACATGTAGGGATTTACTGTAAATCAAAATCTCAGAAAAATTTAAATGAATCGGAATGAGAACATTCTAGAAAGAACTGGAAGTATTCAACTACAGGGATGAACTAAAAAACAAGGCAGCAGCATAGGGTTGGGGGACCGACTATAGCAGTAACATATTTAAGAAATAAACAGTCATTAAGAGGAAGGACGTCATTAAGACAAGAAACTCATGCTGGGGTGGATGGAGTTATGAAGATATCTCTGAGGAAACTGGGGAAATGGGAGGATCCTGGGTATAGGCCCCACGGATAGCGCATGGGATTCCAGTGAACCTCACGCTGTACTTAATTTGCTTGGGATTCCATTGAGAATCTGGTGAAAATTGTGGCTTCTTCCAACAGATACGTACAAGCACAAACATTTTGCACGCAATTTTAGGAAGTTCGCTGACCCCTAAATAAATCAATTTGCGTTATAGACTGCCTGGTGACTGAAGAGATCTGGCTAAGGTTAGACCCCAAAGCACAGACTCATAAAGATTTCTTCCACTCCAAAAGTGCTTTTTCTAACACAGCAGAGTTCAAGTCCTTGAACACTTGGAGGGATCAAATGGAGAGTTCTACTATAGCAGGAAGAAAAGGAGGTGATCCAGTCAGGAATGGTGGCTGGCTGTATAATTTTTGAAAACCATCTCCTAATGTGTAGGGCATTTGGCTGGATTCCCAGATGCAATAGTGAGCAATTCAGACTTGTCTCTGCTCTGTTGGAGTTGACAGTGACCAATTAAAACACTTAGATGACTAAATATTAGTATGAAAAAAGGGGAGCCAGGATAGAGGAAAAAAGAGAGTGAGAGGTGGGGTGGGGGGAGAAGAAAAGAGAGGAGAGAACAGAGAGAGTGGGGTAGAGGCAGAGATGTCAGAGTACAAAAGAGAAGCAACATAAGAATTGTGTATAAGAGCAAAATTGTATCACTTTACCCTACTTCTACTCTGATCAAGAATGTCAGAGCTTGAATTCAGTTCCACATTTACAGACTATTTGGCAAAATAGGAATAACTAATATTAATTATAGCTAGTATTTTTTGAGTATTTACCATGTGCCTTAAAAAAAGATAATAAAAAGGAGATCTAAAAGGAAGAATATGGAAACAGACCACGCCTGCATCCATGGGAAAGAGTGGAATAATACAGAACCCCAAATAAGGCAAATGAAAAAAAAATGACTTAAGGTAGAAGTTGAGAAAGTGGTACAAGAAGAGGCCAGCTCTGCACAGGAGGTACAGGAGGGGTACCTTTCAAGGGAATGATGAATGAAGACAGCGCTTCTAAAAATTAATGTGTATAGAAACCATGTGGAAACCTTACTAAAACGCTTTCTGGATTTAATTTCCAAAATGTCTCATTCTGTGATCTGGAGTGGGCCTGGAAATTGCATGCAGGTGACAGGAGGAAGGTGGTCCACAGGTCACACTTTAGGAAAGACAACTTCAAAAAGAGGATGAGTCAGGTGGATCTACCCTCTTTTGGATCTTGGTCTGGGTAGGTTGAATGTGACTTTGTTCCATCATTTGGTAAACTGATTTTGGACAGATCTTAAACTCTAACAACCTTGGCTTTGAAATGACCCAGCTTGTCAGGCAGGCTGTGTCATTGGAGGGAAGAGCTCCACTGGAAGATTACTAGTGTCAGAAAGAACCAACTTCCTCTATCTCCCTACTGCTGGGGCCCACATAGGATACAGGAACATCCCCACCCTAAGCCGTGGCAACTCGAGTGGCAGACGGTAGATGAGGAGGACTAAAGAAATGTGTAGAAAGAGATTTCCCACAGGAACAAATCATAAAATACATGTAAGTGCTGGGAAGAATAGCTCACCAGTATAATGGATCAAGTGGTGTTTTCACTTCTTTCGTTTTTAAAATTTTGTATGAATCACATCTTAATTTTAATTTTGTTGTATAGTTATGTAAAATATTTACATGGTTTCAAAGTCACATCTATAAAATAAGTATGTTCAAAGAAGTCTACTTTTTAACCCTGTTCCCTCTACTCTCTTCTCTTCTTTCCTTTACAGAATTTAAAAATATATTTATTTTATATATAATAAATATATAAATTTATTACATATAATAAATATATCTATTACATATAATAAATATATCTATTACATATAATAAATATCTATTACATATAATAAATATTTATTTATTACATATATATTTTTATATAAATATAAATATATAAAAATAGATATATATTTATTATGTATTTTTATATATAAATAAATTATATAATTTATTACATGTGATAAATATATATAATTTATTACATGCAATAAATTATATAATTTATTACATGTGATAAATTATATAATTTATCACATGTAATAAATGTATATAAAATAAATATATACTAAATAGAGGTGGGGTATTGCTTCGTTTCCCAGGTGGTCTCAAGCTCCTGGCTTCAAGTGATCCTCCCACTATGGCTTCCCAAAGTGCTGGGATTACAGATGTGAGGTACCATGCTTGGCCAAAATATTTTTTAATTGTTTATTCTTCTATTTAATCATAAGCAGATGTGTGTGTTTGTGTGTGTGTACATATATGTGTATATATGTGTGTGTATATATGTTATATATGTATATATAATTGTATATATACATATATGCACACACACACAAAGGGCTAATATATGTATATATACATATACACACATCTGCATACATATTTATATATGTATGTACACACACACACATATACACATACAAATATATTAGCCCTTTCTAGAATACACATTATATATATTTTCTCCACCTTAAATACACTTTCTTGACATTGCCACTATATAACATGATCTCTGTGGAGAAATGCATTTTGAGTTTGCACTAACCAAATAACATAGTTTTAAAACACAGGCTCTTTATAATTTAGTACTCATATCAACTTTGTTCAATAATTCATTCACTCAATAAACATTTACTAAATAACTATGATGGGCCCAGGGGCAGTTCCAGGTTTTGTGAAATCTAAAGCCCCTGTTAAATGGCTTTATATAGGCCCCTCTATAAAGCCCCTGTTATATAGGCCCTCTCTTTAATAAAAAGAAAATAAACTCGTGAATGCACTCTAAACTATCAGTAACCACCTGCCTTTTTTTTTTGACAGAGTCTCACTCTGTAGACCAGGCTGGAGTGCAGTGGCACGATCTTGGCTCACTGCAACCTCTACCTCCCGGGTTTCAAGCGATTCTCCTGCCTCAGCCTCCCGAGTAGCTGGGACTACAGTAGCCCACCACAATGCCCAGCTAATTTTTGTATTTTTTTTTTAGTAGAGATGGTGTTTTACCATGTTGGCCAGGCTGGTCTTAAACTCCTGACCTCAAGTGATCCGCCCACCTCGGCCTCCCAAAGTGCTGGGATTACAGGCGTGAGCCACTGCGCCCGGCCCAACCTACCATCTTAGGCGCCCGTGCGAACTTTTCCAGCTTCATGGGTAATTGGCTTCTACACGGGCCTGTTATGGGAACTGTGCTTGTGGCTGTTGCACAAAGTGGACAGGACCCCTTGTTTTATGGAGCTTATACTGTAGTACAGGAGAGAGATGCTAAATATATACACTTGTCATAAATATATAATTATAAATTGTGTTTAACTCCCGGTTATGGGCTGAACTGTATTCCCTCAAATTCATGTTGAAGTCCTAAGCCCCAGTACCTCCCAAAATGACTGTGTTTGGTGATAGGGTCTTTAAAGGGGTGATTAAGTTAAAATGAGGTCATTAGTATCTTCCTTAATCCAATAAGACTGGTATCCTTATAAAAAGAGGAGATTAGAACACACCCATATAGCGGGGAAGACCATGTGAAGACATAGAGAGTAGACAGTCATCTGCAAGCCAAGGACAGAGGCTCAGAAGAAATCAACGCCACCGACGCGTTGATTCAGACTCCTAGTTTCCTATATTTCTGTTGTGTAAGCCACCCAGTCTGGTATTTTGTTATAGCAGCCCTAGCAGACTCAAACAACCCCCTAGGAGAAAAGAGTGTGTGAGAGAAAGTATTGTCAGAGGAGTGGTGAGGATGCTGGTCAGAGAAGGCATCACCGATGGATGCATAGAAGCTAAGATATGAAAAGACTAAAAATGATGAACTACGAGGAATAAGCAGATTAGCAGATGCTGTTAAAGGGTGAAAGAAATCAAGATGCTTTTGCTTCACTTAATTATCCCACAGTCTACAGAACCAGGTAGTTCTCGAGAGAAAATCTTTCTAAATTAACTACCATAGATGAAAGGCTAATCACAGACTCTGAGGTGCTGAAGAGCAGGAAGTTTAATTTTTAAGTGGAAGACAAAATGTATTTGATATCATTCACATCCTGATTTAAGGATAAGACATTTCTGAAGAAAATGAGTATTATGAATTACGTAGATCAAACACTTTTTAGAAAAAGAATAAAGGGAAGTTATGCTCTTCCTCATGGCTCATTAAAGAGATTATGGAAATTACAGAACCTGAATATGCAAAACAAAGAAAAGCCAGAAGCATAGACTCTAATTAGTCAAGGATAATTCCTTATATGAATTGCCTTAGTGCAATGATTCTAAGCCCCTTATACCACATTGGAACCACTTGAGAAGTATTTTAATAATACCAATGCCCAAATTCCATTACCAGAAATATAACTGATCTCAGGTGGAACACAGTTATGGCAATTTAAAAAGCACCCCAAAAGATGTTAATGGTCAGTCAATGCATTTCTTCCAGGTAAGGTACCAATAGACACTGAAGCCCAGTAACAATGGTGCTGTTAAATGATGGGACACAAAACTCGAAGAGAAGTTCAAAGTGATAGTTATAGCCTGTGAAGGACTCTAGTGAAGTCTTTTGTCTTTACTTAGGCCATGGTAAGCAAAGACAAAAATCTGAATGACAAAATAACAAGTAAGGTTACCTAGATCCATCCCTGGCCACCTTGTGAGGCTTTGTTGCTTTCCCACTAATCCTAGACACAATCCAGCTCTCTAAACCCAACATCTCTCTGACTTAGATCCATAGCCTCTTTGTGCTACCCTTCTGTTCATTCTCAGTCTACCCTGGTCCATAGTCCAGGGTCCAGTCGTAGTCTATAGTCCAGGACCAGAGTCCTGGTCTATAGTCTAGTCATAGTCCACAGCCGTAGATTATGGACCTATGACTTAGATCCACAGCCTCTTTGCGCTACCCTTCTGTTCATTCTTAGCATTTGTTTGGTGCTTTCCACTTCTGTTTAACACTCTGTTCTCAACAAACCATTTTCCTGATTGGTCAAAAGCCCTTTGATGTCTATTCCTATCTTTGTCACATGAATCATTCCCTATTCCTCTCAACTGTATTCTCTAGTTAATAAAAGATACAATTTGATCCTAACACATTTCTATTATCCAAATGACTTTCATTTCTGCTTTCTTGTCTTATAGTCAAAAAACAACACATTTCTTTCCCTGTTCCATATATATTCTATCATTCTCTTGGATAAAGAAAATTGAACTATTCTTATTTTAAATCAGTGATCAGAACATAATCTGTCATATCATATATTTTTCATACCCAGATATTTATTCAACCATTTTCCTCAAAGACCCAATAAAATAGAGAGCCACAGCCTATCTTAAATTAAAATGCAGGGCTTTATGGGCTATTTGACATGCAATAATTATTTGCAAAGTCTTTTCACCAAACATAGAAATTGCTAATGTCTGACCTTGGAGGAAATGAACTGTACAAAAAATTTCAAGCAAACATGATCCAACTGTTCGCACAAAAGGGAGGTTGCATAAGAAATTCATTGTGTTTCTATCCAAATTTCCCCCTCGAATTGCCACAGATCAGCATGTACTTCACTCTTTGCCACCAATTAAAATCATAAATAGATGAGCTATTCAGCAGAGGAGGGCTGGTGTGCCCTCTCCACAGATGGTCAGCATCACATGTTGCAGTAATGGCTCGACATGCCACAAAGGCACAGTATAAAAACGGTGGGAATCAGAGCACTTCAGCTCCAATTGCTCTATGTTTAGAATTGCCTCTTTTTCAAGATGGATTTCCTTCACAGGAATGGAGTGCTCATAATTCAGCATTTGCAGAAGGACTACCGAGCTTACTACACTTTTCTAAATTTTATGTCCAATGTTGGAGACCCCAGGAATATCTTTTTCATTTATTTTCCACTTTGTTTTCAATTTAATCAGACAGTTGGAACCAAGATGATATGGGTAGCAGTCATTGGGGATTGGTTAAATCTTATATTTAAATGGTAAGATTTCTGTTTTATTTCATTTTTTCCTAAGATTTATCCTTAAATTTGTGACTTCGGCATAATGATCACATTTCAGATGTATATCGTTTTACTTGGAAAATCTTTCAAAAATACCAGGTAACTTGAAACACCAGATTCATAAGTAGAACTTTTAAAAGGCACAGAAATGTATATATATGTTTTTGTTTTTTTTTTTTTTTTGAGACAGAGTTTTGCCCTTGTTGCCCAGGATGGAGTGCAATGGCGTGATCTCGGCTCACTGCAACCTCTGCCTCCCAGGTTCAAGCAATTCTCTCACCTCAGCCTCCCGAGTAGCTGGGATTACAGGCATGTGCCACCACACCCAGCTAATTTTGTATTTTTAGTAGAGACAGGGTTTCTCTATGTTGGTCAGGCTGGTCTCTAACTCCCGACCTCAGGTGATCCACCGACTTCGGCTTCCTAAAGTGCTGGGATTACAGGTGTGAGCCACCACGCCAGGCCAGAAATGTGTACTTTAATGACTTATAAGTAATTCCCAAACCCCTGTAACACATATTCTGTGATTAAGAATTACTTACATGAGCAGCGTGATAATGAACAAATTGATAATTCTAGGGACAAATTTTGATATTTCCAGTCTAAGTATCCAAAGCACCCATAAGACATTCCCTGCAAGGGAAAAAAGCCCCCATGTTCATGGGAAACCAGGGTGCCAAAATACCAAATGGCTACCACCTTTAATAATGTGTGAGAGACCAAGACCTAAGTTTTTTCAAAGTCTCTTAATCATGAACTTTCACAATTAACCCTGCGCTTGAGTCATTTTTTATAGGAAAGAATTGCTAATCTCCAATTAAATAATAGCTGTGTATTTAAATATATATGCATGTTTATAATTCTTTAAATACAGGATATTATTTGGTCATCGACCTTACTGGTGGGTCCAAGAAACTCAGATTTACCCAAATCACTCAAGTCCATGCCTTGAACAGTTCCCTACTACATGTGAAACAGGTCCAGGTAAGCTATTACAGCAGGCTCCAGTTACTGAAGATCTTCCAATAGAGAATCATTACACAGGGTTATCATCTAGGAACTGATATTATATAGGGTAGTAAAGAAAATCTCATGAGTGAGGATGCTAAAACTTCATAACAATCAAAATTACTAATGAGGAAGCAAAGCAAAAAAAATACTCAAATTCCATTTTGTTATTTATGAAAGGGTAGATTGGGAGAAAACTCCCCCAGTGATTAAATATTTGGTGTTTACTTTTCAGAAGAATATAATGACTTGATACTAAAACAAGAAACAGTTAACTAGAACAAATTCTCAAGGAACTAGACTAAGATCTTAGAAATGTTGGTTAATCTGCTGCTAAGCAACTTTCAAAGTTACTATAGGTCTTCCGAGTATCTCACGAATGAGGGAGGAGTAGACAAGTCTTCTGTAAGAAAGGTAAGGACTTCTCAATGTTACTATAGCCAGTAAAGACTATTTCTAACCCTAGAACAATCTCTTTAAAACATATTTTTTCTCTGTACACAAGTAGGCTTCTTGGGCCACTTCTTTTTTATTCTAGGTAAGATTCTGTATGAGTATAAAATCTTTATTGTGATAGTTGATTCTAAGACTGTTTTAAAAAGTTTTTTGAAACATATATTTAAAAATTACATTTTAATTTATAAGAATGTGTTATATTGTACCTCATCATTTTACATAGCATAACATTCTCGCCAGTTGACATCCTTCGAAACTAACTTTGAGTAAAGGGTAGTAGAGAATGTGTAAATTCTTAATGAGTGTTCTGAATATGTCTTTTTTGTTCCCATAGAAGTATACATACATCTGTTATATCGCTTATTACACTAAATGATATTAACTAATTCTTTATATATCCGATTGCCTAGACTGGGTGTTCCATCAGGGGAGGGATGATGCATAGTTTATCTTTGTGAAACCAAAGTGTGATAAATGGATGAATGGTTGGATGGGTAACATTTGAGACCACCGAAATGTTATCGTGGTCAATTCCAGTCCTTTCCGGCATGTGTTCCACCTTATAAGACATTTTCTGGAAAGAGAGAGAGAGAAAAGAAAGAAAGACTGCATCTCTCGGGGAGATTTACAATTTTTTAAGGCATAGTTTTTAAAAGGCTCTGAAAATTCCTGCAGATAAGAAATAGGTCTGTCTTTGTTTAACAAATAAGAGACTGGTATTTAATTTGAATGAACTACCAGGTGAAAAATCGAGGAGGACATTTAAGGAAACTAATAAAAAATTCAGTAGCATGGAAAAGGCATTCTGGAAGTAGAAAGGCTTTTTCTGCTAGGATTAATGCCGTCTTTATAGCTTCTCCTCATCCTCTGTTTTAAAACAAAGATTCTCACTGCAGTGGCCACAAGATAGGCATAGAAGTAGCTGCTAGTACACAGCAGTCATTTGTAAGTCAATCAGCAAATCACTGGCATAGCAATGATATCCTTTAGAGTTTGACTTCTCAGCCCAAGGAAAATAAGCCAACTGAAGATCCAATACAAGCATTAGGGTGGTGCAAAAGTAATTGCGGTTTTTGCCATTACTTTCAATGGCAAAAACCGCAATTACTCTTGCATTAACCTAATACTTTTGCTTGTCAATTAAAAACAACCAAATATTGAAGAATGAGTAGGGCTGTGGCAGATTTGGGTGCAACTGCCTGAGTTCTTAATTAGCCTTGAGTATATTGATTTCTGGAATTCAATGAACCTGAAAATCTGGGAAAAAAATTTTTTGAGACAGTGTTTCTCAGGCTCAATTTAACTCAATTTTTCTTATTTCTACCCACTTCTAAACATTACATATAGCCTGTGTCTTGTCTTTTTTTCTGAGTTACTCATAATTTTCATGGGGAATATGCTATTCTATTATTCATTTCTGATCTTGATAGTTAACCACTTTTCAAATGGACGGACACTTTGTTGTTGCAGGAAGTCCATCTGGCCATGCAATGGGCGCATCCTGTGTCTGGTATGTCATGGTAACCGCTGCCCTGAGCCACACTGTCTGTGGGATGGATAAGTTCTCTATCACTCTGCACAGGTCAGCTTTGCTGCAGTTTCTGTAGCACTGGAATATGACAGTTTTTAATACAGAAAGTCTTGTCTAAAAATTAATTTTAGTGCAGTTTTAGTCAATGAATAAAATGTGCTTATTCTATTCTTTCATAGACAAAATAACAAAATGAATAGAAAACTAATATTTTGCTTTAAGATAATAGCCTAATTAGCTCATAGCTATTTCCACTTTTCAAGTTGGAAATGTTTAACTGATTAATGACTTGCTAAATGTGCCTCTGGGTTTCCAAAATGCAATAATTATTTTGATAACTCATAAATAAGTCGTCTAAAATTATACAGCATAAGGAAACATTTTTGCATGCACATTCCCTTGCTTTAAAATTAACTGGAAGTTTTGAGAATCATCATTCTCCTTGACTGCATCAGTTTATTCAGTAAAATTATGCTTCCTTCTTCGAATAGCCAATGCTTTTGATTTCAGTAACATATATTCCAGCTTTATAGAGAGCACAAACTTTTTAATTAAAAACATTCTGGAAGCAAACTTAAATTTGAATGTTAGTAGATTTAATGTTAGTAGGTTTCTTAATGTTTAGAAAGATCTAGAACTTAAAGGTTACTCACAGTTGCTTAGAAATTGGGTTGTTTCCTTCTCTTCTTTCCTGAAATACTTTGTCATTAAAACAATCCTGAGTACCAATTTAGCCATAAATTAGGTGACTTGAAATTAGATTTGCAAGTTAACCTTAAAAAAATACTGTAACATATGCCATTATTAAAAAGTTTTCTAAAATAAAAAAAGTCAAGATCTATCACATATTCCACTTGTTAGAGTAGTATTGGATAATATAAAAAACAAACAACTAAAGGAATTTGGGTGTCTTAAAAGTTTATTCTAATGAGACTGTGACCTGTATGCCTTAATGTATTTATTGCCCAACCCAAAACAACAACATAAAAAGGTGCTATAATGTAAAAAAGTTAGCATTTTCTATTTACAGACAATTTTCAAAGTAGGAATCTAGGTCAGTTTCACCTTTTCTCTATACTGTATTCCTGCCTCCAATGACCAAACCTGAAAAAATATGTTTCTTCTAAGAAAAAAATTCTCATAACTCCTTTTTAGTTTTTATAACTGCAGTATTTTCTTCATCTATAAAATTTTACTGAGTGTGTGCTTCTTACCTTTACATTACCAAATTCTTGTTTATTCTTCTTCCACATTGGTATCCCACTTACTTCTTCTTTCAAAGCCTCATTTCTCTGTGTTCCTTAGCATTTATATAACCAAATTTCAGTCTGATTATCAGGAACAAACCATTCAAGGATTCCTAGAACTCAATACTGCTAACACTTTTTTTTTTCAATGACATGCATTGCTTGGATTTTAATATTTTTTTATGTTTTTTGTGCATTGCTGTTTTTAATCCAAAGTGTATAACCTATAGGTCAATTCCCCTGTTCTCTATTTTCTGTGTCTCAAAAAAAAAAAAACAAACAAAACAAAACCCAAAACAAAAGAAAAAAAAAAAACAAGAAACAAGGACTTTTGAAAATCTGTGCAATTAAACCCAATGAAAAAATTTGCCCCAGATGGAATGCTCATGCGCTTTTCATCTGGATGGTAGCTGCGTTTCTACTGAGTTTTCCTCAAGCAAAGAAAGGTTGAGAGAGGAGGCACATAGGGCAGGGCGTGAAAATATATATGGTTCATTCTTGATCATTCTGGATATTAGTAATTCCCCCAAACTTGAATTTCCCCTACTCCATTAAAACAGTTATTCTTATTTAATGGATGTCAAAATGACTTCCTTTTTAACATTTATTAAATCTCAGTATATAGCACTGGTTAAATTTAATGCATTGAGAAATGTAGAAATCTCTGTTAAAACTTCTCAAATCCTATGGGGTATGTGGAAACAACATTTTGAAAAAAAAGATTCTAGAATCATGATGCTATGTCACAGTTAGAAGATTCTTCTGAGAAGGATCATCTGATGTCACCCCCTCTAATTTTGAGTGATCCAGTTTCTTTGCTTTTTATGCTTGTATCTATTCTTCCATCGTAGACTGACCTGGTCATTTCTTTGGAGTGTTTTTTGGTTGATTCAAATCAGTGTCTGCATCTCCAGAGTATTCATAGCAACACATTTTCCTCATCAAGTTATTCTTGGAGTAATTGGTGGTAAATATGATCACTTACCTTTAGCTGTGTCCTTTGAAAGCTTTAGTTTCATTATGTTTAAGGGTATCAGATTGTCCCCGGTAATCAACTTTCCAATTTCAGAGGTAATTCTGTGAAGTCACTGATACTAAATGCTACCCCGGGAGCTGACGTGGTACAACACACCTCTCATAGCCTCCATGTACAAAGTGGCACAATCTCAGTGGCGTAAATGCACAATTGCTTCATGAGGTAGGCTTTTCTGAAGTGAAATTAGAGCTAAGTCTAACTCCCAAACCATCACTTCAGACAGTGTGCTTGTGTCTTGCGTGAGGGAACTTAATGACTCTGAGCCCTGCACACTGTGCCATTCTCTCTGAAACATGTGAAGTGACTATTACATGATTACGGACTCCATTTAGTAGCTGCTTTGTATTCCTGAAGCAGTGTTCACCATGACTCAGTTTCCATTGTTCAGCACCACCTTACCTTTCAAAGGCTAATTGGCTATGGCAATTGAAATGTTAATTGCAAGTACCTAGATCAGTGCTCTGTCTAAAAAGCGGGTTGTCAGTCAGTGCCACCAACTCCAGAACGATCCTTCTGGACTAGTATGAATAATGAAAACACCGTGGGCAAACCTGCATTTTTAGTTACTGCCTAAAAAAGGCTTTGGAAAATGGATAGAACCTCTGTGTCTAATGCCCTTTGTCATTGAAAACTGTGGCAAATCTTTAATGCAGAGAGGAATGATCCTCGAGGGGCTCAAGGGCACACAGTCATTGTCAGTGTCTCTTTCCAATCCTCAGGCATGCTGGTGGCAGAGGCCTTTGAACACACTCCAGGCATCCAAACGGCCAGTCTGGGCACATACCTGAAGACCAACCTCTTTCTCTTCCTGTTTGCAGTTGGCTTTTACCTGCTTCTTAGGGTGCTCAACATTGACCTGCTGTGGTCCGTGCCCATAGCCAAAAAGTGGTGTGCTAACCCCGACTGGATCCACATTGACACCACGCCTTTTGCTGGACTCGTGAGAAACCTTGGGGTCCTCTTTGGCTTGGGCTTTGCAATCAACTCAGAGATGTTCCTCCTGAGCTGCCGAGGGGGAAATAACTACACACTGAGCTTCCGGTTGCTCTGTGCCTTGACCTCATTGACAATACTGCAGCTCTACCATTTCCTCCAGATCCCGACTCACGAAGAGCATTTATTTTATGTGCTGTCTTTTTGTAAAAGTGCATCCATTCCCCTAACTGTGGTTGCTTTCATTCCCTACTCTGTTCATATGTTAATGAAACAAAGCGGAAAGAAGAGTCAGTAGAGTGGTGCCTAGAGTTAGTGCTCTGTGTCACAGATCACCCTTCTCCATCCACCAGTAGAGCCACAGAGTAGGCACAGACCAGAGGCTTCTAATCCGACTTCACAGAATAGCGGCACAGGCCCCATTCCCCATAGAGATGTTTAGTTTGGCCTTCGCACTGGTCTTTTTTTTTAATCCTTCAGTTACCAATATTTAGATACAAGAATATTTGACATAAAAATCGGAAGTTCTGTATTTCTTGAAAAATCTGATAGTATGACAACACAGAGCCTGCATCCCCAGCTGGAGACAACTGACCAGAGCTGCATACTAACAGTCCCCAGTAGGAGGCAAGGACTCCATTTTCTCACAGTCTTCAGCATCCCAGCAGGAGCCCCACTATGATTCCTTTATCTTCTTAAGGCCAGGCTGCATCTGATTCCTGTTGACATTTTAGTGGGGACCACAGCCATATCCAGTTTCAGTTTTCAGATGAGGAAATGGAAGCCTATTTAGGTAAAAGAACTTGCCTGGAGTCACGCCACCTTCAGAGCAGGAATTAGAACCCAAGGCTTCTGACACATATCCCCATTACACTGTGTGTTTGAGTGTGCACACATGCACATGCTTTTTGTTTGTATGTTTCCTTTTTAGAACCAGGGACTTGCTCTGTTGCCCAGGCTGGAGTGCAGTGGTGGATAGCGGCTCACTGCAGCCTCAAACTCCTGGCTCAAATGATCCTCCCTCCTCAGCCTCCCATTAGCTAAGACTACAGGTGTGCACCACCATGCCTGGCTAATTTTTGAATATTTTTTAGAGCCAGCTTCTTACTATATTTGCCCAGGCTGGTCTTGAACTCCTGGCCTCAAGGAGTTCCCTTGAGGATGTTCCACCCATGTCAGCCTCCCACAGTGCTGGGATTGCAGGCTTGAGCCATTGTATTAATAGTTGGCCTACACTGTCTTTTGTTTCTTCATTTACAAGAGGTAAAAATCAGTAAGAATGAATGCTTTCATTTAGATTCTATGATGACTGCCATATAAATCAGCTACCTTTTCAGAAATGACATTGAAATACTGCATCCTCTTTGACTTATACCCCACACATACATGCAGGGTCTAGGTGGGACCAACAGTGGCTCCAGATGTATATACACACGGGTCCAGGGACAACAGAACAGGCCAGGCTACAGTATGGACTTGAACCTCTGCTTCACTTCTGGTCTCTGTTTTACAGTAGTGCTCACCAATATTTCAATAAATTCTACTGAACTTACTCTAATAGAACATTATTCAACCCCCAAAGACTTATCTCTTCACTATGACATCTCCATACTTTATTTTTAGGAGACAGACTTTCAAAACCAGAGAAATCAGGTGCCTTCCTCAAGGTCATGCTCCAACCCAGGCCAACTATTAAATGCTTGCATCTGTTAGCTGGATTAGTCTCTATGTATACTGAACTGTGATGAAAATCTATAGCTTTGTTTTAGAAAATTATTGTTGATGGACTATTAATATTATATTAACAATTTCTCAGTAAGTGTGTTTTTTCCTCATTGAATCTAGGAATGCTGGGCTTTAAGTTGATAACTGTGTCATTTCAATCAAGTACAAGGATTTTGAGGCAGATTTTGCTAGATATCTTAGTAATCCCCCACAATGTTTTATGTAACTCTTCTCAGAATATCAATACATTAATTATTTTAGATGACATATTAAATAATCTATGAATATTAATGAAAACAATACAGTTGAAGTGAGTGTTGTTTAACATGATAGTAGCTGAGGATAACAAACCTCAAAAAATCAAAGTATTAATTACTCCTTTCCAAGTATATGTATAGAGCATGTGTCATTGCTTTTATAAAACGCACTTAATAGCTTTCTTTCTAAAAGGCAACTGAACTTTCTAAAAGGTAAATAAACTGAACTTGATATTAGTGGTTCGGTGATTCCAAAGCAAAAAGCTGAGGGATTAAGAAAGAATAGCTTAAGAATGAAATTTGTCTCATGTTGCTGGGACATTTGGGATGAAAGAAGTAGAGAAGAATGATTCTTCAGGTGATGACCGTTGCTCATTGGTTCAGTCCCACCCTATGTCCCACCATGCTGTACCTTTAGATGCCTTCACATTTCATGATACATTTGTGTCATTACATCTTCCACACATCAGAGATCTCATTCCTGTCTAAAAGCCCTTTGCCAAATTTCACATAAGATAATGTTAGTCTTGAAGGATTCTGGTACATCCCCTTCATCCTAGTACAATCTCAGCCTGCTTTCAGCAAGGCCTGAGGAAACCGGCATTAATAGCCAGGGAATTCTGCAGCAATGATTGACTCTACCATAAATCCGTTCTCCGTTTCCATGGAGAAAGCTATCTTCAGCCACCCCATGGTGCTGTCTGTTGGGCAACACATTACCCTCAGAGGGGACTGGGATGAAGTGTGGGCTTGTTTTCTATAATTAATCCCCAAGAACTCTGCCCCTATCTTCCATAAAAACCCCAGAGTCCCCATGGGAGTAGATTTCCCTCTTTATTCTAGTTGAAGTCTCCTGGAGGGATCCATATGGTGGTAAATTGTTTTTGCAATTGAAACGCCTTAGGCAGCAAGAGGAATCGTTTTTCACAGCCTTGGAGAAAATGCCTGCCCTTAATAATGATGGAAAAGACTCTTCTGTTTCCAATTTATTTGTCAGAAGTAAGTGGAATTGAGCTCATTAAATACTGTTACTATAACCATATATTCAAAATGTCTACCTATCTACATATTCAGGAGAAAAATGTCAATACCATGAGCTTTTAGGATGAGAAAATCTAGACAAGAAAATCTGACTCAAGAGAAAATCTGACTCAAGAAACTGTCCAATCAAACCTACATTTGGAAAAAAAATACAAAATAATTTATTATTGCTGAAACTAGCTATCAGGAAGAATATTAGTTCCTTTCCTTTGACAACCTATTGATTGGACATCTGCCTAAGAAGGTTAAGTTGGTGCCTTCTTTAGACATATTTCATTATAAAACAGATGGTGATTAAAAGAATTGTTATAAGATGTCCTTGAAACTAAAAGTCAAATGTTGAAATGCTTTACATTTTTTCAAAATTTTTAAATAAATTCAAGATCAAATTGGTACATACATACAAAAATCTTGGTTTAAGAAAAAGTCAAGTGACTTGGTTCTAAAAATGAGATTCTTTTCTTAAGTATTTTAAAACTGTATATTCCAGCACTCTTCAATTGAACTTTTACAGTGATGGAGATGTTCTCTATCTGTGCTGTCCAATATAGTAGCCACTGGCCACAGATGTTTATTGAGCTCTTGAAATGTAGCTGATGCAACTGAGGAAGTGCATTTTTTTTTTTTTTGAGACGGAGTCTCGCTCTGTTGCCCAGGCTGGAGTGCAGTGGCGCGATCTCGGTTCACTGCAAGCTCTGCCTCCTGGGTTCATGCCATTCTCCTGCCTCAGCCTCCGGAGTAGCTGGGACTATAGGCACCTGCCACCACACCTGGCTAATTTTTTTGTATTTTTAATAGAGACAGGGTTTCTCCGTGTTAGCCAGGATGGTCTCGATCTCCTGACCTCGTGACCCGCCCGCCTCAGCCTCCCAAAGTGCTGGGATTACAGGCGTGAGCCACCAAGCCCTGCCGGAAATGCATTTTTAACCTTCATTTACTTTTAATTTACATTTCAATAGCCATGTGTGTCTAGTGGCTACTGAATTGGACAGCACAAATCAAGTCTCACAGTGATTTTCCTTGAAAATAAAACCCAAGTATTTTGTATATTGTCACTTTTGCCATGTTCCTGTGAGACAACATGAATCAGCGTTAACGGCTCTAAGAAGTTAACAGATATTGCTGCATTTTCCAAAGGGACCCTCTGCAGACCTGGATTCTCTCTCTGCAGCTCCCTTCTCTCTCATTCTGTCCTGTGAGCAATAGCCGCCTTGGTGTCCCTGGACTCTCAGCTCTGTTGCCTGGAATCAGAGAGTCTGGGTTCACCCTCCCTGCACCATGTTCTGGAAACCCTCTAAGGTACACAATACTAGCGGGGAGCTTTACCCAGTCCATGACCACATTCTGGATGGCTGGTTGGCTTTCTGACGAAGCCTCCCTGCTTCTCTGGGTCTAGCACACATCAATGCCCAACACCTGTACTTCTGTGGCTATTCATAAAGTCTTCCAAAAAGGACCGCTCGTGTCCAGTTGCCCCTGAGGATTTTGCCCTCATTGATGGGCTGTCCTAGGCACTTTGGAAATGGCAAACAGCTTCTAGGATGAATTTCTAGATCTCAATATTGCCAGGAAACTAAAATGGGGGTCTAACTTTTCCCCTCCCCTTACTTCGAATGCTTTCAGATGGTGATTTCACTCTGAAGGTAATGTGGTGCCATTTGCCAATTGTTAAAAGTCTATTTTTTTAAAGTTAACAGTAGAAAAGATCTATAAGAAGCAACGACTCCAGAAATTTCTGCCAAATGACAGAAATTCACGAGAAGATTCTAAGACTTAGAAGTGCTTCATTTTCGGCTCTGTAAAGGACGAATGCAGTTTATGCCAAATTTGAGGCAGGTCTGGTGTGGAGTACTAATTACTGTCTGCTATCCTTTGAGGGAGAGCACAGTAATGACTCAGATGAAATCACTTCTCATTTCTTTTGGCAGCATAGAAGTAATTGCTCTAAAGGAGGGGAAAAGCTTCAACGATTAAGGTTATAAAAGTTAGCATAAAACCGATTGTCTTCTGTTCTGAATTTTTAAATTTCTTAGTTTTTCTTTTTTTCTAATGTTTTGCCATGTGATTTCTGAAGAGAATCTGTCCTCAGTTCAAAAACCATGATATTTCCCCAAAGAACAATATGTTCTGAAGGAGCTGCCAGGACAGGGGCAGGTAATGAGTGAAGGCAGCAGCTGCGGTCCCGCCGAACGGGACTCCTGGCGCAGCGCGGGGAGGAACGTAGGCGCTGGCAGCACAGCAGCCCGTTTCTGGCGCTGGCCAAGTGGAAACTGAAGCGGCCTCCCTGGGAGGATCTGGGTGCGCTGCAGGGGGAGCAGGCCATCTGTGTGCCTGGAAAAGAAACCCAGCACTACCGAAGACAAAGAAGAGCTTCTTTACTCTCGCACTCACCTACCCCTGTACGTCAACTGAGCCGATCACACTCTAATTCCTGTTCAAAGAGTTGGCTTTTTCCAGGATTCAGGCTTTGTCTGATGAACAGCATGGACCGGATTGTCATCTGTGCTCATACATCCTGCTGCTAATAGAAGATGGGCACTATCTTCCACCCGCCCCGCCCCGCCCCGCCCCCTTGCCTCCAGGCTCAGTAATTCTGCATCAAAAACATTTCTACATAATCATTCCTTTCTTTTTTTTTTTAAGCAATTGTTCAAATAAAAAAATGGTAGAGCTCTTGCTATATTTCTAGATGAAAACTGCATTGACTTAACAAAATAAAAATAAATGTTCCTGTCTGAGTTTTGGAGATGTGTGTGTGTGTGTGTGTGTGTGCGTGTGTGTGTGTATCTTATTCTCTTAGCTTTGGAATGCTGATGCCCTGCTCACCCTGGCCAAGCAAGAGGTTGCGCCACAGGTCCACATGTGGATCCCAGAGGAAGTCAGAATGCAGGTAGGCAGGTGCCAGGAAATTCAAAGGCAGATCGATGTACAAAGGCCTTCGTGGAGTTTAGCAACCAGCATCCTGGACTGGAGTCATCAGAACTACATTCTAGCCTGGCCCTGCATCTAACCACTAAAACTCCAGAAGGCCATTTAGTGTTGGTGGCCTCAGTTTACCCAGTTCTCAACTGAGGAGTTTAGTATGGGGTTAAAATGGAAGGTTCATTCACGGTGTGATATTCTTCAACTCTGAGGGTCTCATTCAGTCCAACATATTGTGCTTTGTCTCTCCAACCAGCTCCTCTATTTTGTTTGCTCTTTGTGAAGCACTATCTTCACAGAAGGCTTTCAGATGTATTGTTAATTTTTTTGTGAAGTGGAGCAAGAAGGTGATAAGACCCTGGCTAATGTGTTTTGATACTGTTTTAATTTTAGTTACATGCAATGAACAAGGCTATAACTTCTACAAAGCACTCTGTTTTGAAATGTGCTACTTTATTAAACAATTTTGGACCAGTCTTTAAAACATTCGATTCTAATTAGAATCTGAATTTTATAGCAATAAAAAAGTACATGGAGAGATAATTTAACTGATGTTATGGGGCAAAATTATTAACGTGAGAATAGCCATAGACTTCCTGCTATGCTATCTTGCAACAGAAATCCTATAATTAAATTCCAACTCCAGTTCCCCTTTCTCAACATCCTAAAGAAGAAATTCTTGCTGGAAGAGATACTAAGCAGATCACATAATAATAGGCTGAATGAGAAGAAAGGAAGGAGAGGGAAACTTGGCTTTGTGGGAGGTAAGGTTGGAGAGCTTACATGACGGAGCTGAATGAGGAAAGTGACTAGAGTTTTGACACAGCATTTTAGTAAGTTTATTGTGGAGTAATTACGGATTTCTCAAAGACATAAAGATAAAATTTACTTTTTAATTTTTTATGGCTGTTGAAATGTGCTTCCTGAATGAAACACAACTCTGACACCAAGTTACATGATGCCAGGCTTTTTGAGGATGAACAAAATTAGAAATCCAGATCCAAAAAGCTTCTAAAATCTCCACGGACTTAACTAGGGCCCTTTCTGTCCATGCTTGTCTTTTAACTCACCCACCCACCAGACCAGAATGTATTAAATGCCTTCAGCTGCTGGAGATGCAAGGGTGAGTTCAATATAGGCTCTTCCCTGGGGGGAGGCCTCCATTGATTCTGGGCTCACTTGCAACAGATCTGGGTGGACTCCAGGGATACCTCTGGCCTGTGGACTTGAAGAATTGGTTTGTGACTATTTCCAGCTATAAATTAACTGGGAACTTTACTCCCCATTTCTTCTAACCCATCCTTTTTCAAATTCATCCTTTCTTGAACCACTTTTTCTTCCCACCTCTGGCATATCCTGTCAAAGGGATCTAGATTGTTCCCAGTCTAACATCAATTTTATCACGTGAAAGGATGAGAAAGCATATTCAAAAAACACTAAGTGCCTAAAGTAAAAGCTTCCTTCATTTAAAGCAGGGCATGTGCAATGTTCCAGGAAAGAAAGAGCTGCCAGGACACCCATCCAGTGATATCGTCTTTCCATGGCAGTGATACTAGGTAAAAAAGACCGATTCCTCCTTTCACTGAATATTTTTGGAATATCTCTAGATATAATGATCATATTTGAAGATCATTTAAGAATGCATTAATACTTCAATATTGTGTTATTTTCTTTATACTTACATTTCAGGATTTTTATTAATAAAGATCTATTGAGTAAGATTGTATTAATTTTTAGTTAACAGCAACAACAACAACAACAAACACAATTACAAAAAAACTACTTCAGTGGCTTAAACAAGTGAGAGGTGTCTTTTTCTTCTGTAACAAGATGGGTGAAGGCAGGCAACCCAGGCTGAAGTAGCTGCACAAAGGATGTTCAGGAATCAGGCTGAATATCTTCCTGCTCTGCCATCTGTGGTGTGTGGCTTTTGTCCAAGTGATCACAGCATGGCTGCTGTGCATTCAGGAAAGAAGAAAGGGGGAAGAGACTCAGGTTTTCTTTTACCCAGGCTTTATTCAGAAAGGGACAGCCTGCATAGGGCCTTGTGCCTATATTTCATTGACAAGACAATGTCACCTGGCCTTCATCTAGCTGCAAGGGAGTCTAGGAAGGTAAATATTTTGCTTTCCAGCCTCTGTAATAGAGGAAAGCAAAAGAAAAGCGTGTCGGATTGGGTGTCAAGAGAGACAACACCTGCCATAGTGACTTATCACCTACATAACAATGAATGCAACACTCAGCTGCATCTCTCCCTGCAGCCTGCCAAACTATTTTGCAGTAACATGCTAAAACCATGAAGGCAAAATGCTTTATGAACATTATCAGGAAGTATATTTCAATGATTAAATTTTCACCTTCCAAGAAATGTTATTGAAACTCTGCTCATTTCTTACTTTGATTCTATACTTGAGATATGAAAAAGAAACCAAATACCACAAAGGTTTTATCTTTTTTGGTAATCTTGTATAATAATCATAGGCACTTGTTCTCTGTCACCCTTAGCGAACATTTCCATTTCTATCTCCAGCTCTTCTGCTATCTCCAGCTCTCCTGTTCTCACATTTATTTTGTATTTGAGAGCAGGAGCTGTACCTGAATTACAGGAAGGAGGAAATTGCCAATTCACCAGCTGGCTCTGTATTTTTTCTTTTTACATAACACATTCTGTCCTAACTCCAATTTATTGGGTTGAGTAGTTGCATTCGGATAGCCACATGCCAATCACGAGTACCCTGATTACTCATTATGAGCCTCAGGATACCATACAACTCGCTAATGAGCACATTATAATGCTGGCCAGTGCTAATTAGATGATAATCATGTGCATTGCTTTATTTACAGTCTGCTATTTAAATTAATTGGGCATTTAATTGAACCCAGTGTGAAAGAAATTGGAAATGGGTTTAGAGGTTCACTGAGTTACTTTCACCTGCCGTCTCACATGCAGGTGAGATCATTTACTTGATCTGTAAATTTAGAGCAAATCCAAGTGGACACAGTGCTCATTTTATGATGGTACACATGTATATGTAAATTTCTCTCCAAGTGTGTTTGAAAACAACCAAATTCTTAATTTTGTATTTCCTCTAACATCCTTTTGTGCCTTGATTATGGAGAGATTTTGCATGCATAAGAAATATTTAATAAATCAAACCCTTAGTTGGAAATATGAGGTGGGATCCTAAACCAACATGATGAAACTGTTCTGATATTTTCTTACGATAAGAAACTGATATTTAATTATTGAATAAATATATGGCAAACTATACCTAATTATGATCCTATGTATTTTACACTTTCAGAATATAGTATTAAAATATTCCAGGACCTACATTTTAAAATGAGTGTATAATTGCCAAAAATTATAGGCACGGGGGCAGCACCAAATTCAAAGAATCTTTTCATTGAAATAATTTCCTAAGGGCACATGTAGAGTACATTTAGAGTAACTATATAAAAAAGAGTTTTTGGACAAAAAAACTAGAGGCCAATTTTTCTACCTTTTTTTTTCTCAAACAGTAGCATTTCTAATATATGGGCATCTCTTTCATGCAATTTTGAAATGGACCAAAATTAACTGAGAGCCTGTTTTCAAAATAAGTTGGAAGATGTGCTGCTTCAACTTTTCCTAAGAATTGTTCACAGAAAAAAATCATAAATGGTTCTTACAGATCAACTGGAAGAAAACTTGTTTTGGGAAGAGGTCCTCAGGAAGCTTAGCTAATATGACCATTTTTAATATCATACTGTATTTTGTTACACTAAACAATCTTAGTTATTTCACTTTTGTCAACTCACACTGGTGAATCAAATAAAATGTATGATGTAAAGCATTTTAACCACTTCTGATACAGGCCAGTGTAGCTCTATGACTTCTGACATCAAAATGATTTGTTTGATTCCCCAAAGGTCTTTCTTGCATCCAAACTGACATCCTGCAAAACTGAAGTTTTGCAAAGTTTCTGAGTACAGTGTAAGGACACATTCCAATGGAGAAGCTGGGCTCATGTTTTTATAAGACTAGAATTGTAGAGACAACTGAGATTCAGACTAGAGAATTCATGAACCTGATATTCTAATTCTGTGTTGTCCAACATAGTAGCCACTAGTGGCTCTTGAGAACAGACGTTGACATAAGGCTGATTTGAGCTAACATGTGCTGTAAATGTAAATGCACCTCAGATTCTGAATATTTAGTAGATAATGTAAAAATCTCAGGATATTTTTGATTACATGTTGTGATGGCAATATTTTGGATATGTTGGGTTGAATAAAATATACAATTAGCATAAATTTCACCTGTTTTTTTTCCACTTTTTTATGTGACTAGAAAATTTAAAATTACCTATGTGGCTCACATTAGTGGCCCATATTATATTTCTGTTGAAAGGCACTGCTCTGACCCACGGAAAGAATGGGCGTTTTCCACTTTTATTCCTTACGTGGGGGCTGACAAGTTATAAACTACCTGTGTGACTTTGAGAAGACTATTCAACAAGATGTATTGAGGTAGAACTTTATGCCAAGTACCGAGTAAAGCACTGGGGACATTAAGATGAACTAGGCAGTCTCTGCCCTCAAAGACCATCAATAGACATTTTAGTATATGCAGGGAGTTCTGGTCACACAGAGGACAAATGGCTGGAAATAAAAGTTACCAAAATTTGGCAGAAATTCTTCCAGATATCTTTTTATGCATACAAGTATGTACAAGCACACACCAAACACAGATACACACATAACAGATGCATGCATGTATGAGTGTGTGTGCATAGATGATTAGACAGATAGATAGCATCATACCATCTTTGATGATCAGAAATGGTTTTTTTCTGCACAATATAACATGGGCATTGCTCCACAAAAAACAATAAATGTAAGTCAACATCATTATTTTGGCTTCATGAAAAACATCATTGCATATATGTACCGAAACTTATTTGACCTTTACCCCATCGTCTTATTTATAGATTTGAGATTTTTTCCAAATGATTGTGAACAATGCAGGAAGAGAAAAGTGTGCTCACTTTTTGTGATTAGAAGTTTAAAATATATTCTGATAAATGGGATCTCTGGTGAATCTATTTCTGGACTCCCTTCTGTTCTGGTGATGTATCTTTCAAATCTATAATAGTTTCAGTATCTATTGTTTTAATTTTTGTAACTGTACTGCATTTCTATCCCCTTTTCATCTTAAACTTTATTTTTTTCAATGAAAGATATATATGTACATAAATCTTTTAGCAGTTTCTTTCAGTATTCACCTTCATCTTTTACAATAAGATGTTTTTATTGTAAAACATCTTATTTGTTTAAATGTTTAACTGTTTAGTTTCCATTATGAAATATGAGGACCACAAGGATCCAGTTCTTTTTTTACCCATGTCCTATCCCATCCCAACCTACCCCACATATTTTCTTGTTCCTTTCATAATCTATCTATAATTCTGCTTTAGATCAGTATTAAGCTTTTACATTGATGTGACTTTGTAAATAACATTCTCAGATGAGTCATAAGGTAAAATAAAAATATATTTTCTTTTTGTGTAACTTTTCTTTCCACCTAGAGCTAATAGCTAAAAATCTCCAATCTCACTCTCTTTGTCTTCTATTACGCATTGCTAACTTACCCTCAAACTCTAGCAGGGGGTTCTGTCTTCTCTCAGCATTCAAACCCACCAGGCATTCTAGCAGCACCATGTTTTTCTGGGGGACATTCCTCTCAGAACCCATTTCCCTGCCTCAATCTAGCTGACTACTTCCTCTGGGTACAGCACACCTGTAATCCTGGGATCTCCTTCCTAATCATCCTGGAGATTCCCAGCACCTCATTCTTGAGTTAGGTCATCTGTTCTTACATCCCATATCTTCCTATTTTTTTTATCTGTGACCTTATTTTTTAAAAAAAAAGCCCCCTTTTGTGGCTTTCTGAGAAAAGATGGGGAGTAGAGGTGTTGAGACCTGCATGACTGAGAATGTCTTTAGACCTCTCTCATTCTTGAGAATAGCTTTGCTACATATAGAATGATTCCCCTTAGAATTTTGAAGGCAAATCTTTATGAATTTTAGTTTCATTGTCAAGAGGTCCTATGTCATTATAGTTCTTTTGTGTGTGTGTGTGTTTTGTTTTGTTTTTTGGTTTTTTGGTTTTGTTTTTTTTTGAGACAAGGTCTTGCTCTGTTGCCCAGGCTGGAGGGCAGTGGCGCGATGTTGGGTCACTGCAGCCTCAACCACCTGAACTCAAGCAATCACCCCACTTCAGCTTCCCGAGTGGCTCATGCCACCATGCCTGGCTAATTTTTGCTTTTCTTTTTTTGTTAGAAATGGGGTTTCGCCAGGTTGCCCAGGCTGGTCTTGTACTCCTGGGCTCAAGCAATCCTCTTGCCTCGGCCTCCTAAAGTGCTGGGATTACAGGCATGAGCCACTGTGCCCAGTCACATGATTATAATTCTTTATCGATTATATGTCACACATTCCTCCTTCTCTCCTGGAAAATATTCTCCTTTTCCCTCATTTTCTAAAATTTCATACTGTGCCCAAATAGGATTTTTATTTATTATATTCAGTATTGGGTGAACTCTTTCAGCTTGGAAATTCATATTCTTCAATTGTAGGAAATGATCTTAGACTATTTTTTAAAATAGTCTAAATTTATTTTTTTAAATAAACTCTCTTGAACTAGACTATTGACTAATTATTGCACCACCTGAATTGTTACCCTCAATTTTTTCTTTTCTTATTTTTTCCTACTTTTCATCTCTATCTTTTTGTTTTACTTTCAGAGAAATTTCCCCAACTTTATCTTCCAATCCTTCTATTTTTTTTTTTTCCTGTTAACTTTTATTAACTGGGGTTATAAGGAGAGTCTGGTCACAACACACATTATGAAAACATTAGGAAATTACAGAAGGACTTGCAATAAGTTTAAACAGAACAAATTAAGCCAACCCCTTGGTCATCTGAGAAACAATAAGGTAAAATTGCAGAGACCAAATCTTTGTCAGCGATAAAGGATACAGAATAAAAACGTAGACATCATCGCCCCCTGGTGTTGTAAAATAAACATGCAATGTTATTTATTTATTCATTTTTGAAGTTGTAATCTTCTCCTTTGTCACTGAGCCTCAATTATTTCCCCAATTTCAAGCCCTCTTTAGACAATCTTTTCCCTGTCATCAATAACTTTCAAGTATCTTATTTGAAAATATAATTTGTACTAATTCCTCTTTCAGACTCCATAAATTCCTTTCCAGGAAACTGGCCACCTCCCAGCACAAGAGCCTATGCTCTTGCTCTTTGAAATGCAAACCAAAACAAGAGCTTTAGTCTTTCATCAAAATTAGAGGATTAGCATGCATTTATTGCAAACCTTAATTTCCTCTAAAAGGCATCTTTACTCTGCAACTTACTCGTCATTGCCATTTTTCATAACCAGAATGCATTCCTTCACCGTCTGCCTCCTGACTTGGCAACCATCAAGAATTCTGGCCTGACCAGTTAACTTGCTAAACCATCTTTGCTGTTATATACCAGGAAACACTGGAAAAGAGACATAAATAATATACCTCCATATCCTAGTGTCCTGGCTTAATTTATAGGCAGAATTTCGTTTGTTGGCTAAGGGAAGAAAAACCATCTACGTAGAGTGAGCTTGGGAGGAAGCTGGAGTAGGGAGAAAACATGATGGCAGGATAGGTTGGTGGGAACCGTGGGTGCAGTCCTGCTCCCAAGGTTTTCATTTCTGTGACAAGAGCTCTTTTTTGTATGTTCACTTTTATTGATTCCTGTTTTTATTTAAATAGATGGAAATATGTTCTCTTGACCCATTGAACACATTTATTACCATTTTTTGAGTGTTTTTCTAATCACTGCATTGGCTCTGTTACTTCTAATTTCCTTTCTCCAGCTGCCCTATTGTTGCTTTTGCTTTATATGTTAAAATACTTCCTCAGTGTCTGGTGGTCCTTGGAAGTCAATTCCCATGCAAGGAGGAGACACCAAAAAGCCTGGGGAAGCTCTGATCGAGTGGGTGCTTGTTGGTTGACAGGTGGGCTTCATAGAAGGGTAATACGGCTGGAAAATTTTCTTAGGATTCCAAGGACGGAGTCCTTGACCTCTTTTCTTTTTCTTTTTCTTTTTTTTTTTTTTTCGCTCTGTCGCCCAGGCTGGAGTGCAGTGGCGCGATCTCGGCTCACTGCAAGCTCCACCTCCCGGGTTCACGCCATTCTCCTGCCTCAGCCTCCTGAGTAGCTGGGACTACAGGCGCCCGCCACCACGCCCGGCTAATTTTTTTGTATTTTTAGTAGAGACGGGGTTTCACCATGTTAGCCAGGATGGTCTCAATCTCTCGACCTCATGATCCGCCCGCCTTGGCCTCCCAAAGTGCTGGGATTACAGGAGTGAGCCACAGCGCCTGGCCCGACCTCTTTTCTAAGATTGGCCAATTTCCCCAGAAAATCATTCTTCAATCTCCTGCCAGAAGAGAGGGGCTGGGAGTTCTTCTGTTCATACACAGCTTTACATTCAATCCCCCTGTCTCTTGTATGTTAGCTGCCCCTTCAACTTCATCTTGTGTCTCTAAGTGCAAACCTCCCTGTGAGCCTCCTCAGAGAGGGAGTATGCAGTTTCTCGCTGGAACTGGGGAAAGGCAGCCATCCTGCTGCAGGCGGGGCTCTGCAATTCTGTTTCCATACAGGCTTTTGGTCCATTCTTCTGTCTTCAGTCCCTCTGTCCCCTTGTCTCCTCCTTCCAGAAGGATCCAGTGTTTTTACATCTTGAAACTTTCTAGGGGTCTGTGGTACAAAACAGGATGTTTCTAGGCTCCCCCAACTAACAGGTTACATTTTTGTTTTCTCTCATCTTGTAACTCTATTATCAATTGTCCATTTGCTTTCTGGCTCCCAAGATTTTGCAGGTGGCATCACTGTGTTTTCTTCATTCTTGTAGATTCCTGCCGCCTTTAGTTCTATGTCATTCTGTGGTGTTTTGAGGGAGCAGGGGCAAATGAGTGCTTTTCTGCCATATTTACTTGCTTTTTTGTATAAAACCTTATGAAACTACAGCAAAGTAAAATGCGCTATTTTCATTTCATGAATATAATTTCACAGAAACTAAAAACAACAATCAGTATGCAGGGAGGTGCTGAGGAGTAAAAGGCCTGGGAGAGAGTCCCTGCTCCAGCCACACTGGTAGGTCCTCACAGTAATGGTAGCATCACCACCCCTACACTCACTCTGAAGTTAAAGCATAAATCAACAGCCCTAACTGGAAAGCTCATGCTAATACTTTCCCTTTCTGCCTCCCTCAGCCTGAGAGCATCCACCCTTTCCCTATCCTTAGCCTTAGAGATGAAGGAAGCTGGTTTCACTTGAAAGACAAATTTAGTTAAGAAACACAGCTGGTCTTCAGTCCTTCTGTTCTTTTCAAATCTGACCTTGGTCTAGCTCAAGAAACGTTTGTTGATTGCCTGTTATAGACCCGCCTCTGTGTACACCGAGGGTTCAAAAATGAAAGACAGTTCTCTGCCCTTGAGGAGTTCAAAGTGTCACTTACTCCCTGATGTCTCACTAATTCCCACATATTAATCAGGACTGGCTCCTGCACAGAGAAGCACTGAGTGGTGGCTGAGCTGCCACTTGACATTGGGTTTTCCCTCATATGGACCCTAGTTTCTTTCATTTTCTGTATACACATCTAAAGCAGAATTATTATGGAAGGCCATTAGAAATTAGCTTGGATTCCGATGTAGGAAAATGACTGTAAAAGTAAAATATTAACATTCTTCTTTAAAGAAAAAACAATCCCAGCAATCCCTCCTGCTGGGATTGTTTTTTTCTTTAAAAACAACCCCTGTAACTGGTGCGTCATGTGTGTCTGAGATTCTTGCATTGGGTCAACTGATGGGGGATCCAGTGGTGACTAGTTTGTAGTAGGCTCCTTTTTGGGCCATCAGTTCTTCATGGGTCCCCTTTTCAATCACCACCCCCTGTGCCATGACAGCAATGATATCCGCGTTCTGGATGGTGGACAAGCGATGGGCAATGACAATGCAGGTCCGACCCTCTCTGGCTTTGTCTAGAGCAACCTGCACCGTCTGCAAAGAGAAGATGGAAAGTTGATGCAAAGATGCATGATTGCTCCCCAGCCCACCATCATGAGAGTTCAGTTAACACGACCTGAATAACAATCCTATACTTGACGGCAAACCCAAAGGCTCAACATAAGAGAGGATTAAGCAAGTATTCCCTGAATGCAATGCATCAGTGATTTCAATGGCAGTGCACTGGCTGAGAAATTTCAGTGGAGCAAGAAGGAAGCAAACTATGAAGTCCCTACATAATTTTACAATATTTGATGGTCTAGTTTCCTGAAATGAAATGAAGAAAACAACGGAGGGTAGCAGTTAAGTGGCCATTCCTGATACTGCTCTTCATTGAAGACATTTTAGCTCTCTCCAAAATGGAATCCCGATTGTTATGGCATTAATTATACATTTTAAATTTCATAATTGTGTTTTGCTCAATTGCATCTTCTTTCATGCAAACCACACATCAGATATCACCTCTTTCTTTGTGTTGCATGTGGCCTACCTTCTCTGTCACATAACTTTAGAACTATAAAATATAACAGATAATCTAGATTATTTTACTTTATTCAAGAAAGGTGATTATTTGCCTTTGGAAAAAAATGTCACTTAGCCTAAAGAATCTTAAAAACAATTCTTATTTTAAAGGTAAAATATTTTTTTTGAAGCAATCTTATATTAAATCACTTGCTCTAGATAATTGTCTTTTGGTTCCACAAAGTATTGCCAATTTCTACTGTTAACGAATCAGAAAATTGAAAATAGTGCCATTTTATTAAGGACAAATTTTACAGCAAAAGACTTATTTGTAATGATCTAAGACTTTAGAAATTCAACACTTACCTTTTCACTTTCTGTGTCTAAGGCAGAAGTGGCTTCATCTAGTAGCAAGATTTTAGGATCTCGTACAATGGCCCGAGCAATAGCAATGCGTTGTTTCTCCCCTCTAGAGAGTTGAGACCCCTGGGACCCAACGTTAGTTTCATATTTCTGAAAAAAAGTATGATAAGTTTGAGAAATAGAAACAGTTATTGCTCCTGTGCTGTACTGAACTCATGTCAAGGTCTCCTCTGTAATTTAAATTATTTGTTTGTTGAACTAGGGAACAGTGAGTGAGTCCTCCTATAGGATGGAGGATGTCAAATCCACTTAGGAATATAAGAAAAATATGGAATTTGTGACATTTGATGTGGGAAGCAAGGGGACATTATTCCTCATTTCTGCATTTCTTTTAGGTTTATATTTTCAATCTCCTTCTCCCTGTGTCCACATAAGAGCCCATATATGAGATCCTCCTTGATTTGAGACTCTCTGATTCTAGATTCTTATCTGGAAAAATCCTTCCAATATGGACTAATCCCAAGAATGGAAATGTCTTTTGCGAGATCTTCTGGTCCATTGCTGTATTAGGGAGGCAGCATTCTGGAACACAGGCTTTGGTTAGAAGCTCCACTCTGCTGCTTACTAGCTTGTGTTCATGAACAAATTATTTAAATTTTTTTGAGCTGGCTAGGCATCTGAGGTGCAGTATTAACACTTACTTCACATATTTATTGTGAGTTTTAGAGAAAATTAGGAAGAAAAAATCACTCATGCCTGGCATGGCTACATAAAAATTAGTTAACATTCATAGAGTGTTTACCATAGAGGTATTGTGCTAACTATTCTAGCTAGGGTATCATTTAATATTCACAGAAACCATACCCACACTATTTTTTAGATTACAAAACTTAGGCACAGGGAGGTAAGAAAATGGTGCGAGGACAAGTAACAAGCAGTGAAAGTGAAATCTGAATCCAGATGAAAGTGAATCTTGCTCTCCTCTAAGTCCTTGCCTTGACTACTTCTCTTCCTTGCCTTCCACAACACGAGCTGTTTCCTTTCCCTGCTTCCCTTGCCTCCTGAGGAATGCTCCTTTAAGCCAGGTGAGACCCATGAAAACCTGCTTTGTCTTTGTGGAGACAAAGTGCTCAGAGAAGGGTGCCACGGGCAAGTCTGTATGAGGACAATGCAGTAAACCAGCTCCATGACAGTGCCTTGCCCAACATGAGTAGCTATTCAATAAGGGTTTGTGGGATAAATGAATCTTCCAGGAGACACACAATCTTTGCTTTTGATCTCTGGATTCAGCAAATAGTAATTTCCATGTGCTTATAGATTGGGCTAACAGGTAAGAACTGGGCCAAGAGCCTAAAACTTAGGAGACTTTGTGAAAAGAGCAAACAAAAAGCCTTCCACAAACCCACAAAATTTATAAACATAATCACTTATAAAGAAAAACAATTTTCCCAGGGATATTTTTAAAAAGTAAGTAGAGAAGGTTAAAGGTAAAATTTGGCCCTACAATTTGGTTTCCATGTTGTAATTTTTCTTGTGATCAAAACTAAGAGGGACTTTTGGTGGATGGAAAAATGCAGAGTCAATATTGCGCGAAATCTGGACTTGGGTTTGGCAAAGTAAGAGACAGTAAGGCAGGTGTAACTTACCCACCACCCACGGTACACATTGCCAAGTAATGAAATAATGATGATGGCAGTAATACCAGTGGCCGCTTTCATTGTGTGGCTATTAAGTGTGTTTTCTTCATTTTAACGTTATTTTCTTGCATTTTGCAGATGAAATAGACAATCTCAGAAAGGATAATTGTCCCAAAGCTATGAAGCTACTAAGTGGCAAAGCTTGGATGCAAGCCCAGGTCAGCTCCAAATCTCAGGTGTTTCCCCACTATGCTAAACTAAAGCTCAATGTACAAAAAAATTCAACAAAAATAGCATCCATTGCATTGGGCAATACAATACTTTCCAAAATTAAAGAGTATGTTGATGAAGGATATTTCTTTTGCTTAAAAAACTAAGACAGTCCAGGGGCACTGTGAAATAAATTGCATATCCTTTGACCTTCTAGAGCCACAATCATAATACAGATTGAATATTTCTTATCAGAAATGCTTGGGACCAGAAACGTTTCAGATTCTGGATTTTTTCAGATTTTGGAATATCTGCATATAATGAGATACCCTGGGGATAGGACTCAAGTCTAACCACAAAATTCCTGTTTCTTATCTACTTTATACACATAGCCCAGAAGTAAATTCCTATAATATTTTTAATAATTTTGTACATGAAACAAAGTTTTGACTGCATTTTGACTGTGACCCATCACATGAGGTCAAGTGTGAAATTTTCCACCTGTGGAATCATGTTGGCATTCAAAAATTTTTGAATTTTGGAACATTTTGGATTTGGGATTTTCAGATTAGGGATGCTCAACCTGTACACTCTGGTCATTCTACTTCTCCCCATCCTTGTCTCTCATAGGGAATGGCTCTGACTTCGTACTCACCTCTGGGAGTGACATGACAAAATCATGCAGCTGAGCCTGTTTTGCAGCTGCTATGACTCTTTCCATGGGAATTTCTTTGGTGTTGTCTCCATACTTGATATTGTCCATTATGCTACAGGCAAACAACACTGGTTCCTGGGAAACAATTCCAATGTTTGAGCGGAGGAACTGGACATTTACTTTTTTGCTGTCATGACCATCTATCATCTGCCAATAGAGGAGATGACAGGTCATTAGGTTTTTAGAATTCCAGCAGTGAGGAAAGTTCATATTCTAGCATTAGGTGTTATGCAGGACATTTGGTTTGCTTAACAGACTAACAATCCCAAGGCTAAAATTATGGAATAAATTATGTTGCCTTTGACCTCTGGATGTAATGTCTATCAGGAGTGGCATCCATGTTAACACTAATCAGACTATGGTCCTATTTATTTCCTGAACTCTGGCTCTACAGGTGGGGCAAACGAGAAAGACGCTCAGGTATTCAGGTAAGAAACAACGTCCCCTTACTTTGGTGCAGCACACTCTCTACAAATATACAGGGTTGCTCTATTTTGAGACTCATGAGTTATGGAAAGGATTTTTCTCTGTGAAGCTTTTGGGCAATATAAGGGTCAAACCTGTTTTCTTGATTTTACTAACACCATTCTCTGCATAACTGAGATAATAAAACCAAGTAAAAAAGGAATACATTTATTCACTTAGTCAATCAACAAACATATATTTGAATCACCTGCCACAAAGCACCATCCTAAGCCATCTATGTCTGCTACGTAAAGAAAATATAATCTCTGTTTCCTAGGAACTCACAGTCTAGTTAGGCAGTTAAGTCCAGGTACTTGAATATCTACCACATGAGCTGATTCACTAAAGAGTCCTAGAATATTAAAGGCACAGATGCCTAACGTGCTACTATAAAGTATTTGGCCCTATTATTTCAGAAAAAAATTGTGATAAATGGTATGAACAGATTATATTTAAGATAATTTCTAAGTAATGGAAAAAGCAAACACTATTAGAAAAAATATAAAGCATTTCTCAATAACAATTAGCCCTGGCTTATCTTGCTCTACTCATTTTCCATAGCACTTAAGTCTGCAAAACACAATTTAATAATTAAACACTCAGGCTGTTTGCTCATTCTTCTAAATGTGCTACATTGTAAGCTCCTAGAAGGCAGAAGACATGCTTCATGGTCCTTAGACTCTCCCACAGGGACTCATGCAGTAACAGGCACATCATAGGTATCCAAATAAATGTTGAAAATATTGAACGCCTACATTTGGTAGATTAAGAGCAAAGAGGACTTTGAAAAAAAAACATAAAAAGTGGTAGGTTTTCTGCTTAAAATGTTTGTAGAAATGTTTTACGATGTTGTAACAAAATATACTGTGCCTATGAAATGCAAGAAGTCATAATGATTTCCTTATTGGCCTTGCTTTCGACCTGTGACCAGAACATTCACTGGGCATATTCAGAGAAATATACTTAATGTACATGTTAATGTTGGAAAAGTAAATATGAGGGATTCAGTTTCCTGTACCTTGCATAGTTCACAATCTATGTTGGCTGCAGGCATGCCAGAAGTGACATTTTGGAAAATTGAACCCTCTGACTTATCAGAATTATACCTCTGGTTACAATGGGCTTTCTAGGTTTATTGGTTACCAAATACTTTCAAACAAATTTACAATCTTTATACCTCAACTTAATAACAGAAGGGATTATAAATTATAGGCAATCAATACTTAGTCCTTATTTTTATAACTTCCTGGATTCTGTCAATTTCTGTTTGCTTGTTTCCTTGCTTTGCTTTATACAAGGAAATCTTTAGTTGCCTTTTTCAAAATTTTCTTAGCATTTCTCTTCATAATGTTATACTCTTCATAATAGTATATTACATTAAAGATTATACTATTCAGGGAAGTCAGAAAGGCCACTTTCAAAATATAGGGATTAAACAATTAATCAAGTATGAAGCAAAACAAAACATTTTCAGACCCATATCTATGAACTATTTCTTAGAAATTTGCTTTTGGATGAGCTCCAACAAAAGGGGGTAAAAACTAGAAAAAGGAATGTATGGGAACTACGAAATAATGGATCTAATCCAAGGAAATATCACAGGGAACTCACAGGATGATGACTGTTCAACAGGCAAACGTTGCGAGTGACAGAAATGAGGGAAGAGATGGCCTGACAGAGACATTGGAAGAACACAAAGGTTTTCATGAAGACAAAGAATGCAAGAAAAAAAGAAACCTTTCAGAAAAACAATCAAAAAAATATAATGTAAATGTAACTCACTATTTGACTGAAGGATGAACAATATTTACATAATCATTAAAAAAGCTGTCAATTGATTTTCAACTTTTAGAATCAACTTAGAGTGAAGGCAGGAAAGATAATGTTATAAACAGAATGTGCTCTGAATTCTTGATAAAAGTGCAGTTAGAACTTAAGAGGTAAAAGAAGTAAGAGGTGAAAAGAGTAAGAGGTGAAAATAAAGGTAGGATTGCTAACATTTTTCTTTTAGAAAGTGAGAATTCAAGAGGAACTATCTACAGGTGGTGGAAGAGCAACGGAAGCAGATCAGAAGTTTACAAATTTATAAATAGAAGGCCTAAAAAATGATATAACTATATTGGGAGGAGGTAGGCAAAAGGAGGGAGTGGTGAGAGTAAGTAGATTTTTATCTCTTGAGAATAAATCACAGAGAGTCTAAATTTGTTAAATCATGAAATAGCATGAGCATATTATTTAAAGACATAAAAGTCACCATTGGGAGATCAAAAAACATCAAGTGGTCAAAAATAGTTGCCTTTGAGCAGAGAAATGTGGAGTGGGAGTGTAAGCATAAAGCAGGGGGGTGGCTTTTTATTATAAATATTTATTATTTGATTTTGTGACCTTCTGCATATATTACTTTTAAAGAAAGAAAAAAAGGACAGAAAAGAGAAAGAAATGTTATGAAAAATAAATACCAAAGCTATTCACCAAAATTTCAAATATCCTTGCTAAAGATTTATGGTACATGGCTCTCAATCTGAGTTCCTTGCGTTATTTAGATTTCAGCTTCTTGAACAAGGATTGTCTTAGATCTTTTCATGCTAACTCTCCTTTCTTGCTCATTTATCATTATTTCCCTTATCACTCTACTTTTTCCATTCCTGGTCATTAGTTTCCTGATTAGTCTGCACTTTCTGCTCCATTTACGGGTAAGTGAGTGCTTCTATTAAATACACTCATCTCCAGCTTTGCAGTGTGCCCAGTTTTCTTTGCCTAACTGGTCAGCAGGCCATCTGGAACTGGGGAAAATCTGACATTAGAAATTGTGAGGTAGAATCAGGTGAAGCAGCAAATGACTGGGACTGGAAAATATGCATGGGGTAAGTGCCTTAGGCAAGCATTTTAAAGTGAGTCTGGCAAAGCAAAAACTTGAAGCCCACTTTTAGGGGTTGGAAATACTCTGCAGAAGGCAAAATTCTCAAAAAGGTTGCGTGGCTTACCACCTTCCCTTGATCAGGATCATAGAAACGTTCCAACAGCTGAATGCTAGTGCTTTTGCCACATCCACTGCTCCCAACAAACGCCAGTGTCTGCCCTGGACTAATCGACACTGAGAGACCATTCAGAACTTGCGAGTCAGGTCGAGAAGGATATGTAAATTTACAATCAACAAAATCAATCTTCCCCTGGAAGTTGTCCTGTGGATGGGAGGATCAAAATTAGAGATGCTCTTACTGAAGCCTAGAATATTGAAAACACACCTAAATCTTGAGTTTAAAATCCCTGCTTGAGATACCTTCAAACCATGCTGCCAAAGTGCAAAGTATAAAGACAGCAACTTAATAAAAGGACATTCCATTTTGTGTTCTGAAAGATGTAGTATAAAGGAAGGCTTGGGCAACGAAATTAAAGACATTTGACTCCCCCTATTCCCAGTCTAACATAAGGGGATTTTCTTGCCATCTATTCCTGACATTCTGAATAGAAGAGAATAGCTGGAAGATATGACATCACAGAAGCCAGTAACTGTCCAAACCCTATAGCTTTGTTCTCCTAAAGACTAAAAATAATGTTACACTTAAAACGACCTAGAAAGAAAGTTACCTGAGGTCTGTACTGCAAAGGTGAATACTTTCTATTGTACTTTGGTGTGCTTAAAACTCTAACTTATAAAATCTAGAAATGGATAGACATTTAATAGACCACACAGAAACTTTACATTTACTGAACTGAAGGAGAAATTTTACCAATTTAGAAAGATTACAGAATTTAGCTTAGCTTTACTAGTGTTTAGGTTTGCTTTGCTTTCTGGAACATACTAAAATTTTCAAAAATAGGTAGAGAAGATTTACAAATACCTATCTATCAATTAGAAGAACAGATATTTTGTTGAGATTGAATTAATTTTCAGGACATCCACATAAGCTAAAACTTGAATCAAGATGAACATGAATTAAATCAATGTTATTGGACAGGAAGAAGTGATTTTTCTACATTCTGTATCAGAACATCAATAGAAAACACAGTGGTTAGGTAGATCTCAGAGGACAACTGGCTTCATTCATTTGGGAACTAAGTGTATTTTATATTACACAGAATTTAGCATTCACTGAATGTCATCACCTTGTTCAAATGCCAGCTTTAGGAATAATTTTTGATGCTAATTTACTTTATTCCTTTGTATTTATAAATCTACTGTTTGTCTTCTCCAAGTATGTATGAATGAACCCATATACAGCAGGAATTTAGAAGCCAAGTGGTATTGTATGGCCATCCCTAATGGCTGTCCTGCACACACATACGCACAACCTTACCCCTCATCAATACTTACACATTTTATTTATTTATTTATTTTATTAGACTTTAAGTTCTGGGGTAGATGTGTAGAATGTGCAGGCTTGTTATATAGGTATACACGTGTCATGGTGGTTTGCTGCACCCATCAACCTGTCATCTACATTAGGTATTTCTCCTAATGCTATCCCTCCCCTACCCCACACCATCCCCTGACAGGCCCCGGTGTGTGATGTTCCCCACCCTGTGTCCATGTGTTCTGTTTGTTCAACTCCCACTTATGAGTGAGAACATGTGGTGTTTGGTTTTCTGTTCTTGTGTTAGTTTGCTGAGAATGATGGTTTCCAGCTTCATCCCTGTCCCTGCAAAGGACATGAACTCATCCTTTTTTATGGCTGCATAGTATTCCAACACTTACCCATTTTTCACCTGCAGTATTGTATACACTGATTGGGGGTTGTCGGTCCAGCAGTTGAAAAAAGCGTGCAGCTGATATTTTAGCTTTTGCATAACTTGGGGTGTAAGAGAAGGCTCTTCCAAGAGCTGTTGCACTCAGTACAACTGCAGAGATCACCCTGTAACCAGACAGACACACAGGAAGAGAGCAGGGTGGCGTGGTTGGTGTGATGACCTGAAGGCAGAAGTTTGGGGATCTAGCCCTGGTTCTGCCAGGAAAGGACCAAATATCCTTGAGCAAGTCACTTCAGACTTGTCTGGAAATGGAGAGGGTGGTGTTTAAGGGACTGGCAGTTTTCAAACTGTGTTCTATGAAAAAGGAGTAAGAAGAGGACTGAACAAGCATGAAGGGGGGAGAGCTCAGACCTCCAAACCTTTATTTGACCACAATAGCTTCCTTTAAGAAAATTGTTGGCCAGGCGCGGTGGCTCACTCCTGTAATCCCAGCACCTTGGGAGGCCGAGGCGGGCGGATCACGAGGTCAGAAGATCGAGACCATCCTGGCTAACACGGTGAAACCCCGTCTCTACTAAAAATACAAAAAATTAGCTGGGCGTGGTGGTGGTCGCCTGTGGTCCCAGCTACTCGGGAGGCTGAGGCAGGAGAATGGTATGAACCTGGGAGGCAGAGCTTGCAGTGAGCCAAGATCGCGCCACTGCACTCCAGCCTGGGTGACAGAGCAAGACTCCGTCTCAAAAAAAAAAAAAAAGAAAAGAAAATTGTTTGAGGGGGAAAAAGACTTCTGAAAAAATTTTTTTAAAAGAAAAAGCAGGCTTGAAAGATCACCAGATTGAGTTGATTTTTCTAGAATTCTAACAGTTATTGAATCTATAATAGGTATATAAAAGATAATGATTGATGATATAAGCATCATTTTTGCACCAGGCATGTATATAATTTATGCTTCAGAGAGCAAGACAGATGCAATTGCCTGTCTCCTTCTACTTGTCTTAGCCTCTAACTATAGTCAACATGTACTTAATTAACGAAAGAGTGAATGAATAAATGAATGATAAATATAATGAGAGATAACTTTGTTGCTGTAGAGATTATGATGTGAGTAGTAGCCCCCAAAGCTGCTCACCTGCACTGTCATGCACAGAGGGTCTGCCTGGGATGGGGATAGGGATAAGGGATGTGTCTTTGTGTGTCACACTGCTCAGTTCATAAGCAGGAATTGTTTTAGGCCAGAATTGCAAATCTGAACATCCCCGGGAGCCCAGTTTAAAGCCTAAGGGAATGAAAAGCACTTGAAATGAAATGGAAAATGGTGGAAGATGACGTTCCAATTTTTAAAGTGAAGCCAGAAATTGGAAGTTTTCTGTAGTTCCACTTTTTGTTTTGTTTTGAGATGGAGTCTCACTCTGTCACCCAGGCTGGAGTGTAGTGGCATGATCTCAGCTCACTGTAGCCTCTGCCTCCTGGGTTCAAGCGATTCTCCTTTCTCCTGCCTCAGCCTCCCAAGTAGCTGGGATTACAGGCACACATCACCATACCTGGCTAATTTTTGTATTTTTTTGTAGAGATGAGGTTTCGCCATGTTGGCCAGGCTGGTCTTGAACTCCTGACCTCAAGTGATCCACCCGCCTCGGCCTGAGGTGCTGAGATTACAGGCATGAGCCACCGCACCCAGCCTGTAGCCCCAGATTTTTACATGTTGGCAAAAAAATATTCTAAATTATTCTAAAATTATTCTAAATTATTCTAAAATTATTCTAAAACCTTAATATAAACTAAATAAAAATAAGCCAATGGTTTGTGTTTTCTAATTTAGACTAGTAGCTTTAAATATGCAAAGATTTAGAAAAGAGACACTTTCCTAGCTGGGTGGGTGTAGTGGAGTGGGAGAGAAGTGCTGAAAGAGATACCAGGTGAGAAGGCGGGACTCATGGCTAGAGAAGGAAACCCAAGAACCGATTCCTATAGGACCACTTTTCCTAATGCCCTCCAAACCTTTCTCAGACCATCTCCACCCTTACCCCCCGACTCGCCCATATACATGTGTACCTCGTTCCCCAGTACCCTGACACCCTTAGGCTTTCACCTCTGGAAATGTGAGAAATTGGACTAAAAGCTAATCTTATTAGAAAAGCAGGCTTTGGCTATACGAATGGAACATCCTTCACCTGTATGGCCCATGCTGTCTCTGCCTAGGAGGAGTCAGTTGGGAGGAGTCAGCCCTCTTTGCAAGAGAGGAGTTCAAACAAAACAGTTCTCTATGAACCATCTTAGCCAAGACCTCTAGATTTTCTCAGCATTAACATGTGTGGCAGATTGTTTATAAACAACGATCATATTAATTCACACTTTCATGCATCCCTTTGCAACATGGCTTTTTTACTCCTCTCATCAAAAAGTGGATTCTATTTTTTTCTATTCCTTAAACCTGGGCTTGATGGTATGACTTTCTTTGGCCAAACAGAAAATTAGAAAGTTTCTTTGCGTGGAGAGACTTGAAAAGTACTTGCACAGTGGGGCTTGCCCTCTTTTGTGGCACTTGGAACTCTGAGGCCATAATATGAAGAAAAGAAGCTCATCTGCTAGACAGGCCATGTGGAGACAGAAGAATACACAGAAGCCTGACTGAGTCAGCCCAGGTCAGAAGAACCGCCCTGATGACCCACAGAATCTTGAGAAATAATTAATCCCAGCTATTGTAAGACACCAAGCTTGGGATGGTTTGCTAAGCAGCAAAAAGCTAACTGACAGAACCAGGCTATTCCTTCCTTGTGTGTTGATCTTTTCTCACCTTGGCTAGATATTCCTCACCTGAACACATAGCTGAAATGGAGCCCCTCATTGGAGATTAAGTAACCTCCATATCTGTAGGAAGCAGAATTCGCAATAAACATGATGCACTGGGCAAAGGCAAAGCAGAATCCGTAAATATTGGCTTTCTGAATGGCTGTCTTGAAGGGCTTCTCCAGCTCAGTCTCAAGTGCTTCAATGAACCGCCTCTCCTTTCCAATTCCAGCAACAGTGCGGATGTTACTGAGGGCTTCATTTGTAATCTGAAGATTGAAAAAGAGTCTTAGGAATACAAGGGCAGAAATAACTCCTTTCGTGACATTTCAGTGGCTGCCTGGATTAGATGGTGCAAATGGCAGAATGTGGTACAAATCAGAGAATGCATCATCTGGGAATACAAAGACGTGGCTGGAGATCAACCCAACTGGACCACGAGACAATTTTTCAGTTAAATTCAAGTTTCCCTTAATTCTTATACTTGAGAAGTGTTTATGCTACCATCCCTCATTTACCCCCCAAGGACAAGATATTAATTAGAACACACTTTAAAATGTGTAGCTAAAACCTAAGTGTATCCAAAACCTAAACTGTAGTTCATAATTCTGGTTGGGAAAGACACTTGCCCCAAGCCTGGGGGACTCTAAAGTATGAAGAGCAAAGGCATGTGCCATTAAAACCATCATAGCTCCTGTGTGTGTGGAAAGCATGGCTCAGGGGAACCATTAAATTGCAAAAGCTTCACGGCCAGAAAACTGAACTATCCACCCCTGCAAATGAGAGTACACCAAATTGGAATGTGGAATGAATCACTATGCGAGAGGAAATTGAACAGGCAATCCTGTGTTCACTCCGCTATTTCTCCACACTGGCTCATACTCAGAGTCTCGGAGCTTTATTGCCTCAGCCTTTGCGCCAAGCACGCATAGAAAGGGTGGTGGAAGGTTCTTAAGTGTGCCTGTCTTGTGGGCTGACAGCTTCCTTCAGTCTCTTCGTACTACTCGTTTTTAACAGTTTGTCTGATAGCCACTCAGCCATGAGGAATGGGAAAATTAGATCTGCAAGATTACCTGTCCCACCATCTCCAGGGCCTGCTTATCTCGAGAGGCAAATCCTGTCAACATCCTGGTCTGTGTGGCTCCTGATAAAGCCAAGAAGGGGAAGAAGCACAAGATGACCAGGCTCAGCTTCCAGCTAAAGGAGAAGGCAATGATCATGGCCACAGTGACGTTAGTGAAGGAATTGACTATCATCCCGATCTGAGAGCCGGCAGCCTGCAAACCAAAAAGCAATCAACCCGTCTCAGACACACAGTCGCTTTTACCAATTACCATTACACAAAAAGGTCAGACCTTTTATAAAGTTGTGATAAAATATACATAACAATATATATCATTTTAACCATTCTTAAGTGTACAATTCAGTGGCATTTCACAATGTTTTGTAACCATCACACATCTATACCTAAAGCTTTTAAAATCATGTCCAACAAAAACTCTGTATCCATTAAACAATAACCTCCCTTTCTTCTCTCTCCCCCAAGCTCTTGGTGACTTCTATTCTAACTCTCTGTCTGTATAAATTTGCCTACCCTAGGTATCTCTAGAAGTAGAATCATACAATATTTTTCCTTCTGTGTCTGGCTTATTTTGCTAAGCATAATGTTTTCAAGCTTCAGGCATGTTGTAGCAGGTATACAAATTTCATTCCTTTTTATTTTTATTTTTTGTTTATTTTATTTTATTTTGAGACAAGGTCTCACTCTGTCACCCAGGCTGGAGGGCAGTGGCATAATTATGGCTCACTGTAGCCTTGACCTCCTGGACTCAAGCAGCCCTCCTGCCCCAGCATGCTAAGTAGCTGGGACCACAGATGCATGCCACTACACCTGCTAATTTTTTAATCTTAGTAGAAATGAGGTCTCACTATGTTGCCCAGGCTGGTCTTAAACTCCTAAGCTCAAGTGATCCTCCCACCTTGGCCTCCCATAGTGCTGGGATTGCAGGCACGAGCCATCACACCTAGCTTCATTCCC
>NT_187535.1:0-109187 GCF_000001405.40 Homo sapiens
ACTCCAATGTATTGCTAAAGGTGGTCGTATAAACCATTCTGTTTGCAATCTCCTTTTTGTCCTTCTGTTCAAAGTGAGTAAAGAACAACCTGTTTGAATCAGACATCAGATCATGATAGTTATGTGGGGAGAGGGCAGGCAGGGACTCAGTAAAAGGACCTGGTAGAGAAAGCAGAATCTACAGGTTTGAACGTAACATTATGGCTCAGGGTCAGTCATTCTAGGAATTGGTCTCATGACAGATGTACCCAAAGCTGCATTTCAAGTCGTGAGATTAAATTTTGGAGGAGAGATCTTGAGAGACATGAAAAGGATTCTCTAAAATCTGAGTAAGATTCTAAGGTGAAGAATATCAATACAGGGCAGCATAGAAAATAATCTGAGCTTTAAGTAATAGGAGCCATTCAGATGGTGCCTTCAGACAAGTACTAGGTATTAGAAACTCAGAGATGAGCAGATAATCCAGTTTCTGAGGGATTGTAGCATGAAGCAGGGACTCTAGATAAGAATGGGGCACCTAGGAACTTGAAATTGTTTTATTCATCCATACACTTGACTAATATTTATTGATAAATGTGTAAGGCACTGTGCAAGGCAAGGAGAAAAGGTAGGCACTGGGAATTAATACCACAGCACAGTAATTAAATAATTGATATGTTAAGTTTAGAAACATAACTGCAAGAATTCAGCTGCAAGAATGACCCAGAGTTGATCCACTATCAGGGGTGGACTGAACCCTCAAATAGGATTTACCTGCATCAGCCCAGTTGCTGAAGTTGTGGACTGCTAAGCAAGCTAGTACACTCACTTCTTTTAGATTGCTTTGGCAGGAGGGGTCTTCCAAATTTGCTTTTGGTTTAAGGCGGTCAAGACAGTTGAGTTGAGCAAGGAAACAAGCTTTTCTTAAAGGACTGTTTTCCAAACAGGCTTGGTTCTGTGGACCTAAATGACAAGATAGTTTCTGGTTAAATCTCACAGATAAAATTCTAACCCTCTAAAAAGAAAAATGTTTTGCAAAAAGATTTAGGTCATTCTAACAGGTAAGAACAACCTTCCATATACATGACAGCCAAAACTTTGTTATCACATGGGAAAACCATCTTCCCCGACCTAGTCTGCCAAATATTATTTACAAATTTCTTTATGATGGGTAGAAATACCCAAAATCCCACCATCACTCTTTATTAGTATAGATGGGAACATAAGGAACAGTGGTGTGACTCAGTTCTTTAAGATCTTTGTTACTTTTATCAGTGAAAGGAGGGTAGGGGGTGCATTTAAAAAGAGTGTATTTCTGAGAGAGGGAAGGGAATGTTACAAATAGATGAGTAAGTCAACAAAAGGAGAAGGATGTAGAATGCCTGCAAACTATCTGATTATTTTAAAAAAGTCTACCTTTTAAGGGAGATAGAATCAAAATTCTTGAGTGGACTCTAGTTATCCTATGCTCTTTGAAATGATAACTATATTTTTGCATTATGCCAATGGTGTTTCTGCTCACAGATTCCAAATTCCCTGGTTAATGTGCTGAAAACTTGTTGTGCTGAACATAAAACCGAATAAAATCATTGATTTCTACAATATTTGTATGGTGAAGCTCAATTCAATGAATAAATTAATAAAATGAATACATGATAAATGAATTGAAACATAATAAATTAATAAAACCTCAATATAATATGCCTTTTAATATACTCAGGAGGGAGTGTTTCAACTGTTAAATTGATTGCAGTTAAATGAATTAAAAAACAAAATAAATTTTAAAATGCTCCATTATTCATTAAAGTACTTTAGTGCCTCATTAATCTATTTTAGATCACTCAGGCCCATAAGTGCCTATTGTCAAAAGCTGATAGAGTGTGAGGAATTGCTTTTCACACCCTGGAGCCAACTGAATACAGTAACGCTTCTCAAAGTGTAAAGATCAAGTCTGTTGGGTATAAAGCAAGTGTCTTTGAAGCTTGAAAAGTTTTTGAAGGGAATATTGGGAGGCGTTTTTTTTCCATGTTTAGATAGTCACATTTTAAAAATTGTTATAAAAAAAGGAAATAAAAGAAACTTCTGGATTTTAAAGTATCCTGTTTCTCCCCTTTCCAAAGCACTCTTAAGATGAGACACATCAGTGCGCCAACCTAAAAGACTTCCTGATTTAAAACGCAGTTGCAACTTTTTCTTTTTTTCTTTTTTCTTTTTTTCAAAGGTGTTGTTCTTTCTAGTGGCTTAATCTCTATTCCTGTTAGTCACTTGCATCTTCTTTCTTAAGTCTCAGCTTCCAGAGGTAAATTCCCAGTGACTTTCTGCTAAGTCTTCTCCTGTTCTGCTGAGTCTTATTGACAAGATCAAGTCATCCCAAGTGGGCTGGCTCTCTTCAGAGCAAGCTCCTCATCAATGTCCTCCAAAATCTACTCCCTAGCCTCTTTTTTTTTTTTTTTGCCTTGGTATTTCCAAGATGCCGGGGGAGGTGTGAGAGCCTCAGCACCAGGAAGTGGTGAACTCGCGGGTTGTAGTTTACCAACAACAGTATAGGTTTGAAAAAGGGAAGTTTATTAGAAAGGAGGAACGCTGCAAAAGGGTACAGTGGAGCGCCTCAGTGAGAGGACTGAGCACCGTGGTGGATTTTCCTTAGGGGTATTTATGGACCTTAAGGCGGGAGCTTGGCATTGTAAAATGAGTTTCAGCATGACATTCCAGAGAAGTATAGAAATTTTAGTTACTTATAAAAGTTGAAAGAGACCTGGAACCAGATGCGACCAGGTGGTCTTTGTTCCCTTCTAAATTCCTCAGATAAGAAGTTTTGCCTCCAGATGGTGTTTGATGGTCACCAGGTGATTACTGCTCTCCTCACAAGGGTTCTATGAGTCATGAAACAAGCTTGGTTTGTTATTTTATAAATTCTATATATGAAGGGTGGGGTTTGTCTCACTGACTTTAGTATCCTACTGGCAGAACCCACTCTAGCTTTATTTAATGAATGCATTACACACTTATAATTTATATGACACTTAAAGTCTCCTGATGTGTACTTAAAAACCTATAATGAAATACATTGAAAATGACATTGCTTAGTGATGTCTGTTATTGAGTTTTTTTTTGTTTTGTTTTTTTAATTTGAGGCAGTCTTGCTCTGTCGCCCAGGCTGGAGTGCAGTGGTGTGATCTCAGCAACCTCCACCTCCCTGGCTCAAGCAGTTCTCATGCCCCAGCCTCCTGAGTAGCTGGGATTACAGGCATCCACCACCATGCCCAGCTAATTTTTGTACGTTTAGTAAAGAGGAGTTTCCGCCACATTGGTCAGGCCAGTCTCTAAGTCCTGGCCTCAAGTGATCCACCTGCCTCAGCCTCCCAAAGTGCTGGGATTACAGTTGTGAGCCACCGTGCCTGGCCGATAGTTGAGATTTTATATGAAACTTGTTTTTGTCTTTCTACAAGCTTGTAGATTTTTTTCCCCTCCCAATTTTTTTCTCGAAATTTTTCAAAATTTTACAATAATGTGGGTTGGTGACGATGTTTTAATCCATTATGTTGGATATTTTGTGGGGCCTTTTAATTTGGAAATTTTCAGTTCTGAGACATTTCCTTGAAATAGTTCTTGAAAAACTGCCAGACCAACCTCTGCTTTGTTTTCTCTTTTCTTTCTGGAAATCTTGTTTTTAAGGTATGGGAACCCCTAGACTAGTCCTCCAATTTTGTTGCACTTTTTTATTTTCAACTCTTTATCATTTTGTTCCACATTCTGGGATATTTCTTCAGCTTTATCTTCCACTGAATTTTTTATTACTTCCTATTCTGTTTTTAATTTTGAGAACTCTCTCCTCAACATAGTGTTCCTGGCAAAAAAAAAAAAAAAAAAAAAAAAGAGGACTTTCTTTTAGTCCTCTTTTTTTACAGGTGTGCACCACCACACTGGCTAATTTTTCTATTTTTAGTAGAGACAGGGTTTCACCATGTTGGCCAGGCTGGTCTCGAGCTCCTGAATTCAAGCTATCCACCCACCTCAGCCTCCCAAAGTGCTGGAATTACAGGTGTGAGCCACCACACTCGGCCTATTATTGACTCAAATATCATAAGTTTCTACATGATAAAGTTTTCTTATAATCTCATATTATGGTCTGTTTTGTTTTATTAGAGAGCACTAATTTGACAACCACTTGTTTTCTTTTTCTTTTTTTCTTGCCTTGGATGTAAGAACTTGAGCTAAAGTTTTGTGATCCATCGCAGCACGTTCTTTTTCATTGCTTTTATTTTTCTGGGTTTAACCTTCTCTCTCTTTCCCACCTGACTTGATTCTTATCTTTCACTTTTCTTCAGAAATTCTTTTAAATTTGTGTCTCTTTATTTTAAGCTGATTAAAATTATTTCTTCAAATAGGTTGTTCATATTGGGTATGGCAGTTTCTGCATATGAAACTGCTCTAGAATTCAACTTGGAAATTAAATAATATACTGTGCAGTTTTGAAAAATTCAATTCTAATGTGCTTATTTAATCAATCATCCATCTGTCCATGTATACCTTTGTTGCGGGAAGTCAGGGACCCTGAATGGAGGGACCGGCTAGGAGCCACAGCAGAGGAACATAAATTGTTAATATTTCATGGACATTTTTCAGTTCCCAAATAATACTTTTATAATTTCTTATGCCTGTCTTTACTTTAATCTCTTAATCCTGTTATCTTTCATAAGCTGAGGATGTACGTCACCTCAGGACCACTATGATAATTGTGTTAACTGTACAAATTGATTGTAAAACGTGTGTTTGAATAATATGAAATCAGTGCACCTTGAAAAAGAACAGAATAACAGTGATTTTTAGGGAACAAGGGAAGACAACCATATGGTCTGACTGCCTGCGGGGTTGGGCAAAAAGAGCCATATTTTTCATCTTGCAGAGAGCCTATAAACGGATGTGCAAGTAGGAGAGATATCGCTAAATTCTTTTCCTAGCAAGGAATATTAATGTTAATACCCTGGGAAAGGAATGCATTCCTGGGGGGAGGTCTATAAATGGCCGCTTTGGGAATGTCTGTTTTATGCGGTTGAGATAAGGACTGAGATACACCCTGGCCTCCTGCAATACCCTCAGGCCTACTAGGGTGGGGAAAAACTCCGCCCTGGTAAATCTGTGGTCAGACCGGTTCTCTGCTTTTGAACCCTGTTTTCTGTTGTTTAAGATGTTTATCAAGACAATACATGCACCACTGAACATAGACTCTTATCAGTAGTTCTGCTTTTGCCCTTTGCCCTGTGATCTTTGTTGGACCGTTATAATTCTGCTTTTGCCCTTTGTCCTGTTCCCTCAGAAGCATGTGATCTTTGTTAGACCCTTATTAGTAGTTCTGCTTTTTGCCCTTTGAAGCATGTGATCTTTGTACCTACTCCCTGTTCTTTCACCCCCTCCCCTTTTGAAACCCTTAATAAAAACTTGCTGGTCTGAGACTCAGATGGGCGTCACCGTCCTACCGACATGTGTTGTCACCCCTGGTGGCCCAGCTGTAAAATTCCTCTCTTTGTACTGTCTCTATTTCTCAGCCGGCCGACACTTATGGAAAATAGAAAGAACCTAGGTTGAAATATTGGGGGTGGGTTCCCCCAATATACCTTTCCTGATTTCCTCAAGGATATAAAGTGGCTATCAGAAAATACACAAAGCAAGAAAGCACAGTGTTTTGCAAACTATATTTTAAGATATTAATATATATCATGACAAAACTGTTCCATGTTCAAATTTCTCTGGAATTTTTGGGATTCCCTTAAAATTCAATAAAAGTGACTTTTGGGGATGATGTGGGGCTATAGTTATTATGCAATATTTCCCTAAAACCTTTTAAAGGGAATTTTTTTCATAAAGGATCTATTCATATATATAAAAGTAGTGTTAAAGGAAACCCAGCTAGAGAAATGCTTAACTAGTTACATATAAATAAAATCAGTAGCAGGAAAAAACAAAATGGAGTAAATTATACTAGAAGGGGGGGAAAAAAAAGCACTGTAAAGTTTCATATGATTAAGGTGTAAATTTGCTTCTGACCTTCTTGGAGGTCAAAGCAAAAAAGAAACATGGTTTACTACATAATTCTCACTGTACAGGAAGGAAAGATAATACATTGTTTTCTTGGGGGCAGCCACACTGCTACTGAATTATGACAAATATGTTTCATCTGGATCTTACCAGGTCTTTGGGTCTTTTTTTGTAGTTCTCATAATGTCAACGTGCACATATGGAACAGGAGAATATGCTGGGTGAGTTTTACCAGAACCAGTTTCTGTCAGTCATTGGAGGTGAGGTCTAGTGAAACAGCTGAAGTGTGGAGGAGCACACGGGAAAGAGGCAGAGTTTGAAAATCAGGGAGGTCCAGAAAAGTTAACAGACAATCTCACATAACCATGCTTTTGCCACGCTCTTCTTAGGGCTCAGTTTTAAAACAAAGTCATCAGAGTCAAAAACAAATGTTTATCTATCTATGTATCTATGTATGTTTCTATCTATCTATCTATCTATCTATCTATCTATCCATCCATCCGTCTTCTATTTATTCATCTATCTAATCATTGATTTAAGGGATGTTACATCTTTTTTAAAGTGTCATTTAAATTTTTAAAAATTAAAGTGGGATTTATTTTTTGCATGCATGCAGGTGTATGTGATATGTATTTCACTGAAAAAGGAACCCTTAAATAAAACTGTGACCCAATCACTAAGTTGACAGAATTCTTCATTTGTCCAGAATGTGGGAGTCAGAATATCTTCTCATGGAAAAGGTAGCTTTCAAAACAAATCACTTTATGAAACTTGTCAACTTTCTAAAAATACTGGGTTGACCAATCCTAATTTTTTTCATGGAACTTTACCACTAGTTCAGTAGTTTATTGATGATATTGTGGAAGGATAATTATGTGCTATATTTCTTTCTGTCATGAAAATAAATAATCCCTCATTTATCATCCTTCATGAATTATGGCACAGAAGTACAAATGAAAACTTCAGAAATTAAAGCAAATGTTTAATATTAAGAAATATTAGACTAGGATGGGTTTTAGCCCAGCCATACCATCAACTTATAATGATTGTGTGAATTTAAGTAATAAATGTCCAGGTTGTCATTTTCCGTATTTGTAAAATGGAAAAATAATAGTATTTAGCTTACAAGGTTGTGGTGAGGACTACATAAGACAATACAAGAATATTATGGGAGCCTGGCACATAATAATTCATAATTTTAGGTATTATTATGATAATGGTCAGGTTTTTTTTTTTTTTTTTTTGACAAAGTCTCACTCTGTTGCCCAGGCTGGAGTGCAGTGGCACCATCTCGGCTCGCTGCAAGCTCTGCCTTCCAGATTCACGCCATTCTCCTCCCTCAGCCTCCCAAGTAGCTGGGACTACAGGGGCCCGCCACAACACCTGGCTAATTGTTTTGTATTTTTAGTAGAGACAGGGTTTCACCGTGTTAGCCAAGATGGTCTTGATCTTCTGACCTCGTGATCTGCCCGCCTCAGCCTTCCAAAATGCTGGGATTACAGGTGTGAGCCACTGTGCCCGGCTGGTCAGGTATTTTATGATGAAACATAGACTCACTAATGATGGTAGCACTGTTTTTTTTTTTTTAAATGGAGTGGGGAGAAGTTTTTATTTGCAAATGCTAGATATAAGACTGAAGGAGCCTTCTAAGGTAGGAAGAAGAGAGGAATGTTGTAAAGGGCTTTAGCAAGGGTGTCCAGCTGGAGTTCAGCTAGTTTCAGAAAGAGTAGATTAAGAATGATTCTCAGGGAGGGAAGAATTGTTAAAGATGAGCAGCCACTGTTGGACAATTTGTATTTTACCAAGAGCAATGGAGAGGAACAGTGAGGAGTCAAGTCATGTGCAAGAGGGAATGGAGAGGAACAGCAGGAGTGAGTGGGGGCACTGTTGCAAGGGCTGCACTGGAAGGTGCTCTTTCTTTCAGTGTCTCTCACACTTATACTGCTGTCTCTTGATATTTTTCTCTTTATGTTTATATTTTATCTCCTTAGTTATATTTTATTTTTAATTGACATGTAACAATTATATGTATTTAGGGGTACAAAGTGATACATTGATGCATATAAACAATGTGTAATAATTAAATCAGGGTAATTAGCATCTCTGTCACCTCCAACATCATTTCTTTGTGTTGGGAATATTCAAAATCTCTCTTCCACTGTAATTTCATAGTGAGAAAAAAAATCCTCTCCTCCAGGTATTTGAAAATATACCATAGGCTGGGCACGGTGGCTCATGCCTGTAATCCCAGCATTTTGGGAGGCCAGGGTGGGTGGATCACCTGAGGTCAGGAGTTCAAGACCAGCCTGGGCAACATGGTGAAACCCCGTCTTTACTAAAAATACAAAAATTAGCTGGGCGTGGTGATGTGTGCCTGTAATCCCAGCTATTAGGGAGGCTGAGACAGGAGAATAGCTTGAGCCTGGGAGGCGGAGGTTGCAGTGACCCAAGATTGCACCATTGCACTCCATGCTGGGTGTCAGAGCAAGATTATGTCTCAAAAAAAAAAAAAAAAAGAAAAAAGAAAGAAAAATATACAATAAACTATTGTTGACTATAGCCATCCTACAGTGCTACAGAAAACTAGAACCTATTCCTCCTGTCCCGCTGTGATTTTGTATTCATTAACCAACCTCTGTCTTTCCTCTCCCTCCTACCCTAGAGTAGAGAGTTCTACTCTCTAATTCTATGGGTGCAAACTTTTAGCTCCCACCAATGAGTGAGAACATGTGATATTTATTTTTCTGTACCTGATACTTCACTTAACACAATGTCCTCCAGGCTCATTCATGTTGCTGCAAATGATAGGATTTTATTCTTTTTTATGGTTGAATAATATTTCATTGTGTATATATAACACATTTTCTTTATCCCACTCATCCGTTGATAATAGGTTGATTCCATATCTTGGCTATTGTGAATAATGCTGCAATAAACATGAAAATGCAGATATATCTTAGATGCACTGATTTCCTTTCCTTTGCATAAATACCCATAGTGGAATTGTTGGATCACATGGTAGTTCTATTTTTAATTTTTTGAGGAAACTCCATACTGTTTTCCTTAATGGCTGTACTAATTTATAGTCCTACCAACAGTGTATAAGAGTGCCCTTTTCTCTGCCTTTTTGCCATCATTTGTTACTTTTTTCTTTTTGATAATAACCATTCCAACTGGGGTGAGAAGATGTATCATTGTGGTTTTGATTTCTATTTCCCTGATAATGACATTGAACTTTTTTTTTTAAATATACTTGTTGGCCATTTGTATGTCTTCAGTACTAAGCTATTTTTGTGTTACTATAAAGAAATACCTGAGACTGGATAATTTATAAAGAAAAGAGGTTTAATTGACTCACAGTTCTGCAGGCTGTACAAGCTTGGCTCCAGTATCTGCTTCTGGTGAGGGTCTCAGGAATCTTCCAATCATGGCAGAAAGCAAAGGAAGAGCAGGTGATGTCACATGGCAAGAGTGAGAGCAAGAAACAGAGAGAGCTATAGTGATGGTACTGGCATTGGATAAACATTCCCATTCCAAAAGGGAGAAGTCAGCCCATAGAAAGGGGCAACAGGCCTCAAGCAAGTCTGAAACCCAGCAGTGCAGTCATTAAATCTTAAACCTCCAAAATAATCTTCTCTGACTCCATATCCCATATCCTGGGTACACTGATGTAAGAAGTGGACTCCCAAGGCCATGGGCAGCTCTGCCTCTGTGGTTTTGCAGAGTGGATCCCCCATGGCTGCTCTCACAGGTTGAGTGTCTGCAGCTTTTCCAGGCTGAGGATACAAGCTGCTAGTGGCTCTAACATTCTGGGTCTGGAGGGAGGTGACCCTCTTCCCACAGCTCCACTAGGCAGTGCCTTGGTGGGGACCCTGCACAGGAGATCCAGCCCCACATCTTCCCTTGGCATTATGCTAGTAGAGTTTCTCTGTGGGGCTCCACCCCTACAGCAGGCTTCTCCCTATGCACCCAGGTTTTCTGATAGATCCTCTGAAACTTAGGTAGAAGCCACCAGGCCTCTTTCCCATTTGTATTCTGAGCATCTGCCACACTTAACACCACATGAAAACTGCCAAAACTTATGGCTTGCACACTCTAGAGCTGTAATCTGCACTTTACCTGGACTCCTTTGAGCTGAGGCTGAAGCCAGAAGAGCTAGGATGTGGAGAGCAATGTCCCAAGGCTGTGCAGGGTAGCAGGCCCTTGGGGTTGGCCCCTGAAACCATTATTTCTTCCTAGGCCTGTGGGCCCATGGTGGAAGGAGAGGCCTGGAAGTTCTCTGAAATTCCTTTGAGGCCTTTTTCCCATTGTCTTGGATATTAGCACTTGCCTCCCTTTTAGTCATGATAATCTGTTTAGCAAATGGTTGCTCTGCAGTCCTCTTGAATTCTTTCACTGAAAATGGGCTTTCCTTTTCTACCACCTGGCCAGGCTATGCTCTGCTTCCCTTTTAATTATAAATTCCAACTGTAAGTCATTTATTTGCTCCCACTTAAAATTATAGGTTGTTAGAAGCAGCTATGCCACTTCTTGAAGATTTTGCTTCTTAGAGATTTCTTCTAAGTCATTACCTTAAGTAATTGCTCTGAAGTTCAAACTTCCACAAAGCCCTAGAACATGGAAACAAGGCAGCCAAGTTCTCTATTAGGGAGTAACAATTGTGACCTTTACTCCAGTTTCCAATAAGTTCCTTATTTCCATCTGAGACCTTATTAGCCTGACCTTCACTGTTCATATCTCTATCAGCATTTTGATCACAACTATTTAATCAGTTTCTAAGGAGTTTCAAACTTCCCCTCATCTTTCTGTGTTCTTCTGAGCCCTCTGAACACTTTTAATCCCTGCCTATTACCGGGCTCCAAATCTGCTTCCACATGTTTTTTAATTTAATTTTTTATTTTTTTGAGATGGAATCATGCTCTGTCACCCAGGTTGGAGTGCAGTGGTGTGATCTTGGCTCACTGCAACCTTCTCCTCCTGGATTCAAGTGATTCTTCTGCCTCAGCCTCCCAAGTAGCTGGGACTACAAGTGCGCGCCATCATGCCTGGTTAATTTTTGTATTTTTGGTAGAGATGGAGTTTCACCATATTGACCAGGCTGGTCTCGAACTCTTGACCTCATGATCCACCTGCCTCGGCCTCCCAAAGTGCTGGGATTACAGGCGTGAGCCACTGCGCCCAGCTGCTTCCACACTTTTAGGCATCTTTATGGCAATGCCTCTCTCCTCAGTATGAATTTTCTATATTAGGCCCTTTTTTTATTAGTATAAAGGAATACCTGAAATGAAGTAAGTTATAAAGAAATTAGGTTTTTAAAATTAATTAATTTTATTTCTTGTTTTCTTTTCTTTCCTTTTTTTTTTTTTTTTTTTGTAGAGATGGGGTCTCTCTGTTGCCCAGGCTTGTCTGGAACACCTGGGCTCAAATAATCCTCCTGCCTTGGCCTTCCAAAATGTTGGGATTACAGGCATGAGCCACCACACCCAGCCAGGAAAGAGGTTTAATTGGATCATGGTTCTGCAGGCTGTATAAGTACAACTGCAGCATCTGTTTCTGGTGAGAGTATCAGCAAGCTTCCAATCATGGAGGAAGGCAAAGGGAAAGCAAGCAATGTCACATGGCAAGAGTGAGAGCGAAAGAGGGAGAGAAGTGGGAAGTCTTAGACTTTTAAACAACCAGATCTCATGTGAACTGATGGAGAACTCTGCTATTACCAAGGGGATGGTGCTAAGCCATTCATGAGGGATTAGCTCCTGTGATCCAATAATCTCCCACCAGGCCCCAACTATAACGTTGAGGATTACATTTCATCATGAGATTTGGAGAGGGCAAACATTGAAACTATACTATGTTCTTTTGAGAAGATAGAAGATTCTTTTTCCATTTTCTAATTGGATTTTTTTTTTTTTGCTGTTTAATTGTTTGAGTTCCTTGTATATTCTGAATATTAGTCCCTTGTCTGATGAATAATTTGCAAATAATTTCTCCCATTCTACAGGTTGTCTCTTCACTATGTTAATTTTTTTCCTTGCTGTGCAGAAACTTTTTTAGTTTGAAATAATCTCACTTGTCTATTTTTGCTTTTGTTGCCTGTTTTTTTGAGGTCTTAGCCATAAAACCTTTTTCCAGACAAATTTCCTGATGCATTTCCCCTGTGCTTTTTTTTCTGTTAACTGTATAGTTTTGGGTCTTACATTTAACTCTTTAACCCATTTTGAGTCGATTTATTGTATGGTGAGAGATAGGAGTCTAGTTTAGTTCTTCTGCATGTAGATATCAAATTTCTCAGAATCATTTATTGAAGAGATTGTTCTTTCTCCAACATATGTTCTTGGAGTTGTTGTCTAAAATCAGTTGACCATAAATACATGGATTTATTTCTGAGTTTTCTATTTTGTTCCATTGGTCCATGTGTCATTTTTTAGGATTTTTAAAAAATTTCTACGAAGAATGTCATTGGTATTTTCATAAGAATTGCATTGAATCTGTAGATGGCTTGGGACAGTATTGTCATTTTTACAATATTAGTTTTTTGAATTTATGAACATCTTTCTCTTTGTGTCTTTTTCAATTTCTTTCATCAGTGTTTTGTAGTTTTCATAGTAGACATCTTTCACCTTATTGGTTAAATATATTCTTAGGTATTTTATTTTTTTTGTAGCTATTGTAAATGAATTACTTTCTTGATTTCTTTTTCAGCTAGTTTGTTATTGGTGTTTGTAAATACTACAAATTTTTGTATGTTAATTTTGTGTCGTGCAACTTTATTGAATTCATTTATCAAATCTAAGAGGTTTTTTGTTGGAGTTTTTAAGTTTTTCTATATGTATAAGATTATATCATCTGCAAAGAGGGACAATTTGATGATTTTTCAATTTGGATGCACTTTATTTATTTATTTATTTTTGAGATGAAGTTTCACTCTTATTTCCCGGGCTGGAGTGCAATGGCACAATCTCGACTCACTGCAACCTTTGCCTCCTGGGTTCAAGCCATTCTCCTGTCTCAGTCTCCCTAGTAGCTGGGATTACAGGCACCTGCCACCATGCCCAGCTAATTTTTTGTATTTTTAGTACAGACAGCGTTTCACTATATTGGCCAGGCTGGTCTTGAACTCTCGACCTCAGGTGATCCACCTGCCTCAGCCTCCCAAAATGCTGGGATTACAGACGTGAGCCACTGCACCCAGCCCACATTATTTTTTCTCTTGGCTAATTGCTCTGGCTAGGACTTCCAATACTGTGTTGAATAAGAATGGTGAAACTGGGTATCCTTCTGTTCTACCTCTTAGAAGAATAGCTTCCAACTTTTCCCCATTCAGTATAATGTTAGCTATGGGTTTGTCGTATATGGCCTTTATTATACTGGAGGATGTTTCTGCTATACCTAATTTATTGAGAGCTTTTGTCATAAAGGGATGTTGAATTTTATCACATGATTTGTCTGCATCTAGTGAGATGATCATATGGTTTTGTCTTTCATTCTGTTGATGTGATATACCATGTTTATTGATTGTGTATGTTATGATTTCTGTATGTTGAACCATCTTTGCATCCCTGAAATAAATCCCACTTGCTCATGGTGTATACTCTTCCTGATGTGCTATTGAATTTGTTTTGCTAGTATTTTGTTGGGGATTTTTGCATTTGTGTTCATCAGGAATATTGGCCTATAGTTTTCTTTTTTTGTTACGTTCTTGTCGGGTTTTGGTATCAGGATAATGCTTGTCATGTAGAATGAGTTAGGAAGACTTCCCTCCCTTCATTTTTTTCAAATAGTTTGAGAAGAATTGGTATTCATTTTTCTTTATGTATTTGATAAAATTCAGTAGTGAAGCCACCTGGTCCTAGGCTTTTCTTTATTGAGAGACTATATTACTGATTCAGTTTTGTTGTTTGCTATTGTTCTTTCGGGTTTTCTATTTCTTCATGATTCAATCCTGGCAGGTTGTATATGTCCAGAAGTTATCCATTTCTTCTAGCTTTTCCAATTTGTTGTCTCATAGGTGTTTACAATAGTATCTGTGATCCTTGCATTTCTGTGGTATAAGTTGTAACATCTCCTTTTTAATTTCTGATTTTATTTATTTGGGTTTTCTCTCTTTTTTTCATAGTTTAGCTAATGATCTTTTGATTTTGTTTATCTTTTCAAAAAGCCAGGTTTTTGTTTTGTCAATCTTCTTTTTTTAGTCTTTATTTTGTTTAGCTCTGCTCTGATCTTTATTATTTTCTTGTACTAATTTTGATTTGATTTGTTCTTGCCTTTTTAGTTCCTTTAGGTATATCATTAGGTTGTTTATTTTAAATCTTTTAAATTTTTTTGGTGTAGGAATTTTTGCTGTAAACTTTCCTCTTAGTACTCCTTTGCTTTATTTCATAGGTTTTAATATGTTGTGTTTTCATCCAGCAAGTCTATACCTTTTAATTATGGAATTTAAGTCATTTACATTCAAATATATATTTTTTATTTTCTTCTTAATTACTTCTTTCACTCACTGGTCATTCAGGAGCATGTTGTTTTATTTCTATGTATTTGTACAGTTTCCAAAGCTACTGTCGTTATTATTTTCTAGTTTTATTCCATTGTGGTCTGAAAAGGTACTTGATATAACTTCAATTTTTAAAAATTTGTTGAGACTTGTTTTGTTGCCTAATGTATGATCCATCCTGGAGAATGTTCCATGTGCTGATGAGAAGAATATATATTCTGCAGCTGTTGGATAATATGTCCTATAAATGTCTCTTAGGTTCATTTGGTCTATAGTATAGTTTACCTGTGATGTTTCTTTGTTGATTTTCTGTCTAAATAATCTGTCCAATGCTGAGAAAGGGGTTCTCAACTATGATTGTACTGGGGCCTATAGTTGGATTTTTTTCCTTTAGCTCTAATAATATTTGCTTTATATATCTGAGTTCTTCAGGGTTGGGTGAATACATATTTACAATTGTCATAGCCTTTTGCTGACTTGATCCTTTTTATCATTATGTAATGAACTTTTTTGTCGCTTTAAATGTTTTTTGTTTTAAAGTCTATGCTGTGTGATGCAAGCAATAGCTACTCCTGCTCACTTTTGGTTTTCATTTTTGTGGAATATCTTTTTTCATCCCTTCACTTTCAGTCTATGTGTCTTTATAGGTGAAGTGAGTTTTTGAAGGCAGCATATACTTGGGTCTTGCTTTTAAAATTCTTTAAGCAAGTCTGTGTATTTTAATTGTGGAATTTAAACTGCTTACATTCAAAGTTGTTATGGATAGGTTAGGACTTACTCTTATGATTTTGTTAATTATTTTCTGGTCACTTTATATATTCTTTGTTCCTTTCCTCATCTCTTATTGTTTATCTTTGTTGTTGGACAGTTTTCTGAAGTTATAACATTTGATTGTTTTCTCTTTCTCATTTGTGTATCTGCTCTATCAGTGAATTTTATACTTTCATGTGTTTTTATGATGGTAGTTATAGTTCTTTTGCTTCCAGATGTGAGACTCCCTTAAGCATTTCTTGTAGAACTCATTTATATGTGAATTCCCTCAGTTTTTGCCTGTCTGGGAGACTTTATTTCTCCTTCATTTTTGAATGATGACTTTGTTGGGTATAGTATTCTTGGCTTATAGTTTTTTTTTTTTTTTTTTTTTTCTCTTTCACCACTTTGAATATATCATCCTATTCACTCCTGGTCTGTAAGGTTACTGCTGAGAAATCTGCTGTCTGCCTGATGAGGATTTCTTTATATCTGACTTGACACTTTCACTGGTTTTTGGAATTCTCTTTTTGTTTTTGACTTTTGACAACTTGACCAAAATATGCTTTAGGAAGGACTTTTTGAGTTGAGTCTGTTTGGGAATCTTTGAGCTTCCTGAATCTGGATGTCCATATCTCTCTCTAGACCTGGGAAACTCTCAGCTATTATTTCATTAAATAGGTTTTTTAAGAAATACCTTTTCTCATTTCTTCTCCTTCTGTAATTTCCATAATGCATTTTTTTGTTTGTTTGTTTACTGGTGTCCCATATGTTCCATAGGCTTTATTTATTTATTTATTTTTTGCTTGACTAGCTTATTTCAAAAGACTTGTCTTCAAGTTCAGAAATTCTTTTTTCTGCTTGATCTAGTGTATCACTGAAGCTCTCAATTCTATTTTTTATTTCACTTGTTGAATTATTCAATTTTAAGACTTCAGTTTTTTAAAAATGATACCTATCTCTATTGAATTTCTCAGTCAGAGGAATTGTTTTCCTGATCTTATTGAATTGTGTATATGTGTTATCTTGTATCTCTCTGAGATTTCTTAAGTCATTATTTAAATTTCCCTTTTAGGCATGTTACTGGAAAATCATTGTGTTGTTTTAAAGGTGTTATGTTTCCTTGCCCTTTCATAGTTTTTGTGTTATCCCTTTATATCTGCACATTTGATGTAATTGTCACTTCCTCCAGTTTATGAAGTAGCTTGAATAGGGAAAGACTTTTTGCTGTAGATGTGTCCTGTAGTTTCAGTTGGGTAGGCTGCTTTGGCTTTGACTCTTGGAGGGTAGAGTAGTGTAGTTTCCATTTGGTTTCTTTGCTGTAATCAATGTCGGTGGTGACTACAAGTACCTCCATGGCCTAGGCTGCAGTTATTTTTGGAAGTTGTGGAATAGCTTTTCTGGGTGCTGGGATGACAAGCAGGCCAGTTCTTTGCTCTGTTGGGGGGTGCACATGGGTGTGTGGCACTTTGTTTTGTAGGGAATTGGGTCACTGGTGGAGGTGGCAGGCACTCGGTGGGCCAGTCTTCAGGCCAATGGGGGGCATGCATGTGTCTGGGTGTAGGACACCTTTGCTATGGAGGAGGAAGGGTTACTAGTGGTGGCAGTGGGACCCAGTCTGATGGGTCTCAGGTTCTGGGGAGCATACACATCAGCTCCCTCTTTCCTGGGGGCCTGTCTTCCCACTGTGCTGGACTGCTTGCACCCTGATAGGGCATTGTATAGGCTTGGGTGCTGTAATCATGACCACACTGCTGGGTTCAGCTGTTTTCTTGTTGCTTCAGCCTCAGGGTGGATGTGGTAGGATTTTGGTGAGGCCTCAGGTATGTGGAGATGCAGGGGCTATTGGGCCCCAGGGCAGGATGCACTCTGATGGTGGCTTCACTCTCAAGGTGGTGATGTTCTGTGGCAGCCTGAATAACTGAGTGTGTGTGTGGAGGGGGAGTGTAAATTTCCTCTCCAGAATAATGCAGTCAGATGGACTCTAGGCAGCTCTTTACACCAGGCTTAGGACTAGCAAGGGCTATGGGGCTCTTGTGAAGCTAGGATACCAGGCATCTGTGGTGGAAATGCAGACTACTAAGGATCTCCTGTTTGCCCTTTTCTTAGGGTGGGGAGCCTCTCTTGACCCCAAGATGATCCTGGCCCATGTGGTTTGCTTCCTTCTTTATGCTGCCATTCTGAATCTCTGTGCTGCAGAAGGTCTTTGGCACTTCTTTGCTGAATTTCTGTGTTCTCCCCTAGATATTCCATTTGATGTGTTGTCATATGTTTGTTTTTGGATCTTTGTTGGGGGGCAAGTGTTGAGCACCTTTAGTCATCCATCTTGATGATTGTAGCGCTGTTTTTCAGATTGTATAAACAGCAGACTATTTGTTTGTACCCAAATGAGTCAAGGTAAGATCAGTTCTCCTCTTTAATTATTATTTTGAGGAACAGTTGGTTATTGTAAAATAGCAGAATATGTATCTACATGAAAATAGCTTATTTTTAAAAGGCCCTCTATCCTTAGATCTGACAGCCCCAGAGGATATTGGAATTCAGCACTAAAATTCCAAAGTCAAACTGTGTTCCTACTATTTATTTAGTGAAGATTTGGGGTTTCTCAGATATTATAGTTTCATTTTTCTTGTATCACATTCGACTAGGAATGTTCTCCTAATCTTATCTTTTAGAACTCATTATTATATTTGAATTTTGGAGAGTATTTATTAATTGAATTGAGGAAAAGGTAGCAGTTTTCGCGTAGTACATAGAAAATGTTAAAAATAAAAGGAACATTGAGAAAGGAAAGAAACACTATCTGTTGTGGCTTCAAGGCATTTTACTGTGAACATTTACAAGAACATGGTTGTCACGTAAAATAACCTTACTCTATGTGATTTCTTTTTAGCAGATGTGAGAGACATTCATGATAGAATGAATCCCTAAAGAAGAAATCATGTTAAATAATTTATTAGAGCCATTATTTTCATTGCCAATGGCTTATAAATGAAAAAAATCAATAAATTCATTTTATTTCAAGAAAAGATTATAAAACAGAATGTCATGGTCATGTAATGTTTGAAGATTGTTTATCCAGAGCATGAAGGACTGACCAGCTCCAGGTTAATATTGTTTCTGGAGTTCAGTGAGCATAAATTCTATAGAGCACAATAATTGATGAAAGGTGTTTTAGCATATTGTATATGTGATTGTATTTTCACCAATATCAGCACCATCTATGTAGTTGGCATCTCAGAGTCTCAGAAAGAAATGTTATGCTACAGTTTTTAGTTACTACAAAGTTTTTTGAAAGACCCCACAAAATAATGAGTTACTTTCATTAATTGATGTATTTACTGATTGATAATTTCTAAATTAAAGCTGAGTAAAAATAAAAAACCCCAACAAAGTGATAAGAAACCAATTCTTTATGAAATCATGGTAATAATTACCCTGATTGTGAGCAAACATTGTGCATATATGTTCACAATAGGACATTTTACAGCTTCCTATTTGTTCTGTAGAATATTATTAAAAGTAATAGTTAATCAACAATTTTTTAATGTTAGCATTTGATTAAGAGCAGGAATGATTAGTGCTATTGTTTCATAGAGACTCAGACATATCATTTAGGAAAGCCTAATTTACCTGACTTCATTGATCTTTTCCTTTCTTTTAAAAATTTTAAATGGAATCTCAAGTGAATAAATTAGTAAATTTATCATTTTCTCTACAATACTGTCATAAGGACAGTTTGATAAAATAGCTCATTATAGTCAATGGTATGAAATATGAGTTCCATCAGCATATTTTCATCAAATGCAGCTACAGAAATTAGTTTGCTATTATCAAGGACTGTGGAATGCAAAAATAAAATTAAGCATGCTATTATATTGGTTAAAATTGGGGATTGACCCAAGTGAATTAAAAAAAAAGTCTTTTAGTGACAAAAATATCAAGAAAACCAAATGAATCATCAAAAATTAATTGACAAGTGGCAATCCTAGTCATATAATGAATATGTTTGAGATAAGTTGTCATCCCCTTCAAAGGTAGCCTTCAGGTCTACCTTTTTAGGCAGCCATGGTTCTAAAATGTAATTTTTTTTTTTTTGAGATAGAGTTTCGCTCTTGTTGCCCAGGCTGGAGTACAATGGCACGATCTCAGCTCACGGCAACCTCTGCATCCCGGGTTCAAGCGCTTCTCCTGCCTCAGCCTCCCGAGTAGCTGGGATAACAGGCATGTGCCACCACACCCGGCTAATTTTTGTACTTTTAGTAGAGACGGGGTTTCTCTGTGTTGGTCAGGCTGGTCTCGAACTCCCAACCTCAGGTGATCCACCCGCCTCTGCCTCCCAAAGTGCTGGGATTACAGGTGTAAGCTACCGCGCCTGGTCTAAAATGTAATTTTAAAATCTTCTTTTGGTAAAGAAACTCAAAGCCTATACATAATAGGATTAGTTATTATTTATAATGGTTGTTTATGTGAATTAAGCAATTGGCAGTACCTATTGCATCTAGATTTTGAGGCTTCTTTCTTAAAGGAGACATTTAAAAAGGGGAGGCAGTAATGGAGAAGTAGTCTTGATTTTGACTGGTACGTACTTGGAATATGGTAAAAGTACATACATCTAGTATGACTGATGATTGCTAACAGCACATTTTATATCCATAAATATCTATGTCAGTTACTTATTGCTACAAAGTAGCAGATTGTCAATCACCTTAGAACTTTGTGGCATACAATAATAAGCATTTATTTAGCTCATGGGAATGTGGGTAGCTCCTGGAAATTGGGTGTTCTTGGCTGGGGTAGCTGGTTATGTTTATAAATTTCACATTCTCCTGGAGAATGAGCTTTCTAGCATGTTCTTATTGCAGCGGTAGAGACACATGAGAAGAAGTGAAAACATGTAACAACTCTTAAGGTCTAAGCTCAGAGATAGCTCACAGTTGTTTTTGAAATATTGGTCAAAGCAAATTATATGACCAAACCCAAAGTCAAGGAGTGGAGAAATACTGTACACTTTGAATGGGACAAAATGCAAAAATCACATGTCAAAATCACAGCATGGATATAGTGAGGGGGTGAAGAACTGGGGCTGGTGATGCAATTTACCACAACATCAATTCCTTTAAGGTAATAGTTTTTTTTTAAAAAGCTACTTTATTGAGGTATGATTGATTCACAAAAAGTTGTACATATTTTAATCTGTATAACTTGATGAGATTGGAGATAAATATATACCCCTAAAACTATCACCGCAGTCTATGCCATAGACCTCTTCATCACCTCCAAAAGTTTTCACCTGCTGCTTTCTTCCTCTCCTCCCCCTCTTCTTCCTCATCCTTCTTGGAATAACACTTAACATAAAATCTACCCTCTTAACCAGTTTTTAAGTATATAATACGATGTTTTTAAACTATAGGCACTATTGTATGGCAGATCTCTGGGAATTATTCATCTTGTATAATCAAAACTTCATCCCTTTGACTAATATCTCCCTGTTTCTCTCTCCCCCATCCCCTAGAAACCATCATTTCACTCTCTGCTTCTGTGAGTTTGACTGCTTTACAATCGTTATATAGGTGATATTATGTAGTATTTGTTCTTTGTGACTGGTTTATTTCACTTAGCAAAATGCTTCTCCTCCATGTTCACCTATACTGTTACAAATGGCAGGATTTTCATCTTTTTAAAGGCTGAATAATATTTCATTGTATGTATATACTACATTTTATCCATTAATCTGTTGAAGGACTTTTGTTTTGCTTCAATGCCTTGGCTTTTGTGAATATTGTTGCAATGGACATGAAAGTACACTATATCTTCACGATTCTGATTTCAATTCTTTTGGAAATACACTCAGAAGTGGGCTTGCTGGATCATATGATAGTTCTATTTTTAATATCTGAGGAAACTCTGTACTGTTTTCCATAGTGATGTCACCAACATACATTAGCATCAAAAGTATATAATGGTTCCCTTTGCTTCACATCCTTGCCAACGCTTCTTATCTTTTTAATTTTTTTAGTAATAGCCATCATAACAGGCATGAGGTGATATCTCATTGTGGTTTTGGTTTGCATTTTCCTGATGATTAGTGATGTTGAGCATGTTTTCATATACCTGTTGGCCATTAATTTGTATGTCTTCTTTGGAGAAATGTCTATTCAGTTCTTTCGATCACTTTATAATTGGGTTATTTATTTTCATGCTATTGAATTGCAAGACGAATTAATCAGAAAACACATCGAATCAATTCATCATGAAGACTAAGAAGATAAAAGGAGATAAAAAGTTGGTGTGTCTGTCCAGTTTTTTTCCACATACTTGTAGAGTTGTACAGTTGTAACCTGTAATTTAAATTCCTGGTGTATCAAAACTATAAATCAATCAACAGTAGAAACTAGAAAATAAAATATTTTTATAACATTTTGTGAAAAGCTTGACTATTTAGATAGGCTTACAAATAAATTTTTTTTTATTATATCAAAAGGAAATTCACAGGCTGTTATTTGATTTAATTTTCCAACTTAGCTCCTCTAACCTGGTCCAAATGTACATGTGACAGATAAACTCTTGCAGAGAATAAATCATAAATAAAAGTGAAAATGAAAACATTTGTAGAGATACTTTGTTATTTAGTGAGCAGGAAACCTGACATCTCATCTGAAATCATGTCATATTTGAGTATAAAAAAGGTTACTCTATTTATTCTATATAAAAGCTAAGAAAGTAATGAGAGGAGAACAGAAGAATGAATCAAAAGAGGGAAAAATAGTAGAGGACCTAAGAGAAGGGGACAGGCAATAGCAAATACAGAGTAAATATTAGAAGAGTCCTGACAATTACAAGGATTTAGGGATTATGTGCCAAAGTTTTCTGATAGCAGTGAAAGGGAAGTTAGTATTAAAAAGTCAGAAGATAGACATAAAAGTCAAAATGTAATTTAGATTTTAGTATTTTGTAACGGCAACTTTGTGTCCTTATAAAAGCACGTCAGGCAGGGGATAGCTCAGTAGACTGGAATATGGGGTATTTTATGAAAATGTAAGCTAAGCATCATTGGACGCTAATGTTTTTAGGTGGGGAGGAGAGGAAGAAAGCAGCAGTTATTATGAAGACACATAAGCTTATACAGTTGAACTGTGAAGAGGCTTTTTGTATGAAGTAAAGTGGCAACGTAAGTCACAACAAAATAGAAGAATGTAGCCTATACAATAGTGTAAAGTTGAATATATATAAGCAACAGAGTGATCATAATATTTGTCTATATCTCAGTATATCGTCTATCTCCCTGGAAAGACAAAAGGCAGAAGTATAAGAATGTTGTGCTCAGTTTAACAGAAATATAAAGGTCTGAGTGTGACTTGAAAATTAAAAACAAAGGGAAATATTGGCAGATCTATAAAATATTGACTGACATGTATTATATGATTTAAAAAACTCAGAAGGAGTTGCTATAAGAATCTTTGTGAAATCAAAGGTCACTGAAGCAGTAGAGTGTTGGGGTTAGTAAAAGCATGAACTTAGAACATGAATAGAACTGGATTTAAATCGTAGGTTTGCTACTTCTTACCTAGCATGAGTGACATTGGGCCAGTAATTCAAATGCTTTGATTCTATTTTAGAGATAACTTCCCTCTAGGAGTTACTCCTGGAGTGAATAACATATTTATTTTTTATTTTATATTTTTTTGAGAAGGAACCTTGCTCTGTTAGCCCAGGCAGAAGTGCAGTGGCATGATCTTGGCTCACTGCAACCTGTGCCTCCTGAGTTCAAGCAATTCTCCTACCTCAGCCTCTTGAGTAGCTGAGATTACAGGTGTCCGCCACCACGCCCGGCTAATTTTTGTATTTTTACGAGAGATGGGGTTTCACCATGTTAACAGGCCAGGCTGGTCTTGAACTCCTGACCTCAGGTGATCTGCCCTCCTTGGCCTCCCAAAGTGCTGGGATTACAGGCGTGAGCCACCACTCCCGGCTGAACAACATATTTTTAAAAAGATATTACTGTTTCGATCGCTTTTAGAAGGGTTTTATTTTTATCACTAGATGTAGAATTTAACTTGAGGAGGCACCTAATGAGATTGATGAGCTCTCTCATCTCTTAAATAGGGATAATAATATCTATTTCGTAATCTTGTTTTGAAAATAAAATGAGTGCTGTGTGTAATCAAAGCATGTAACCCAGTGCCTGGCTATAGAGTAAGATTTCAACAAATTATAATAATAATAATTATTATTATCAACCATTCAGCTAATATAAATAAACTAGGTTTAAAAATGTGCATTGCTCATTATTAAAGGAATGATCAAAGTGAAAAGACTCCTGCATCTGGCTTATTGTTAATTAAAATGGTAAAAATTTTTTAGGAAGGCATGCTTATCAATCTGCTGTATGCTTTTTCAAAAGCTAGCTTTGGGTTCCTAAGTCAGATGTCACTTGAGAAGGTTACATACAACTGTTGTCAAAGAATCAGTACATAAAGAAATCATGAAAAAGTTCCATGGGTTTTTCTGTGTTCTCACTCCTGAGCACACAATCTCCTGTCACCCAGGCTGTAGTGCAGTGGCATCATCTCGGCTCACTGCAACCTCTGTCTCCCGAGTTCAAGCGATTCTCCGGCCTCTGCCTCCCCAAGTAGCTGGTATTATAGGTGCCTGCCACCACGTCTGGTTAATTTTTGTATTTTTTGTAGAGACAGGGTTTCGCCATGTTGGCCAGGCTGGTCTTGAACTCCTGACCTCAGGCGATCCGCCTGCCTCGGCCTCCCAAAGTGCTGGGATTACAGGCATGAGCCACTGTGCCCGGCCTTTAATTTTGTTGTTGTTGTTATTGTTGGAATGTTTCATTCTCAGCACAGGCAACAGTTAGTTAAAAATTGAGCTGCCATCAAGCCCACATTTCCCAGTTTAATGTATTTAGAAAGACATATTTGAAGACAAAGTACATATATTGGTATCTCTTCTAACTTTTCCTTTACTGCTGATCTATAGAAGAAAACTGCCTAAGAGGAGGCCTTCCTGCATTCCTATACCCTGCCCATTGGTTGGATTATAGATTTGGGAGGCTGAAGGTGTCAGTGGGAACCTGAGAGTCTTTCCCACTTCCTTCCTGCAAGGCTGCATGGTGCTCTTAAACTGGGAAATGATGGGTTGGTTTGATTATCTGTACTCAACTTGGTCTAAATGATATACAGCTGATAAATACTCCTTATAGTTTGTGTACAAAATTGGGGCCTTTTGGATGTCAGTATAGATAGTTTTATTTAACATTTTTCTTACTTTGGTTCTTTTACTGGGCATTAGAGAATGTTTTAAATAAATGTGTTTGCTCCGATATCCTTCCTGCAAAGCATCTATGATGCATTTAAAAGAATTTCAATTAGGACTTCCTAGAGTTAAAACAAAAAGGTTGAATTAAGCTTTTGCTATCAGGAGAGAAAATAATCTTTTTTAGTACACTTTGCCTACATTGTAATTCCTTCATTAACGAAGGGGTTGCTGTTTTGCAGTCTCATCCCTAAATAAATTATTTGTTATTCTTATAAATATCATTTGTAATCTCTGTCACACTCAAAGTTTTCACAAATTCTTACAATTACCATAATTAGTTTCTGCTGATGTAAACCAAATGATGAGTTCCAATAGGGTAAATGTTCATCTTATTTCTCATATTTTTATCTGATATTACATTTTTTCCAACTTTCTATTATATACAAATTATAGGATACAAATTATAGGAATTCCTTGGATCATAATCCATATCCAACTGTTTTAATTTTTCCATTATTTTGTTCTCATTACTTTTCTATTTTGATTCTGTTCTTACTTTGGGGACTACTATTTTCATAATTAAGTTTAAACTATTACTAGCCTAATGGTGATACAAAATATTCAAATAATATTTACCATAAATACCAATTTCAAATAGCCTTTCTCGAAGCAATCACACAAAATGTTATTAACTGTAAAAAGTGTGAGAGACCTGAATCTTAAATCTATAGAAATTAGAATTAAAAATAGAAAGAATGTCTCAAATAAAATAAACTTTTAGTCTGTAAATCAACATGAACTGATATGGATACTCTGTAATTATTTGGGTAACTTGATTAAGGTAGATAGCCCAATTGGATAGTTTAAGTGAAAAAGGTCCATATTGGGATGACTAACATCACAGATGAAGTATCAGTTCAGGAAGACTGAATTCATCTTACATTTGGGGGTAAGACTGCTATTCATGTGTTACTTATTCAGATGCTCTTTTCAGATGAAGGGACAAGGATTAAATCATTTGAAAAAAGCCACATGGTGCTGTTATCTGAGCCAGGGTAAGCCCTCATTGTTGCGTATTGTTTAGCCTACTTAGCTATTTTCCATTCTCTAAAGTTCATGGCCTGATATTTCATGAGCCAATGGTTTGATTTTAATGGATATTCCAACAATGGGCTAAAATATCCCACCCAGAAAATTTGGCTTTGTGTATGTAATCAGCTATGTTTTAGAACTGTCCTTACTCTAAAAAATGAATTCTCTTTTCTTTTAAAGATTGTATTTTCAAAGAGTATGATCATTAGCTCTGTAAGTCCTGCTTCTCTTCTCAAGTTCTTTCCTTCAGTGAGTGAGAACATACATTGTCTTCTTATCCAGGTAAGAAACAGAAACCTCCTAGACACTTCTGACACTGCTTCAATCCATTTATTTAACCCATCACCAAATCCTGTTTACTTTCCAAATATCTTTTAAACCCATCCACTTTATTATTTTTTAGAAGTCTTTACTGTCAACACTCTGGTTCAAGTTTCCACCATCCCTCAACTGAACAATTGCAATGGTCTCCTAAAATGGTCTCCACATCTCCTATGATTTACCTTTCTCTATTTCCTCCATTCTCCATTCAGCTACTATGGTGATCTCTTCAAAATGTGAAAACGATTACTTGTCCTATGCTTAAGTCACATCAAGGCTTCCCCTTGTCTTCATGCCAGGAGTGGACTGGTATGATCACCTCCCATTATTCTTTCACTCTGTTCCACCAGCCACAAGAAACTTTTTTTTTGACAGAGTCTCACTCTGTTGCCCAAGCTGGAGTGCAGTGGTGTGAGCTCAGCTCACTGCAACCTCCACCTCTTGGGTTCAAGCAATTCTTGTGCCTCAGCCTCCCAAGTGGCTGGGACTATAGGTGCACACCACGTCCAGTTATTTTTTGTATTTTTAGTAGAGATGTGATTTTGCCATGTTGGCCAGGCTGGTCTCGAACTCCTGGCCTCAAATAATCCACCTGTGTCGGCCTCCCAAAGTGCTAGATTACAGTTGTGAGCCACTGTGCTGTATCCTAAAGTTCTTGCATGTTGCAAACACGCCTGGCTCCCTCCAGACAGAAGGGCTTCCCTAAAGCTGCTCCATTTGTCTCAAAGGTCACATATCTTTGCTTATAAATAGCTAGGTGATTACAGAGGTCTTTGGAGAGGAGATGATTTCTTAGTAAGGATTAGTAATGGAAGATCCCTAGGCTGTAACCATGATGGAGGCATCACATAATCTGGCAAGGTTCAGCCGTGAAAAACTTATCATTTTATACTAAATAGCTTGGATTTTATCCTGAAGATGATCAAACCATTTTAGCCATAGGTTTTTGTATGTACAAAAGTTTGGGGGAATGAATCATCATGGGTTAAAAATATCTTTTATTAGTTAAAATCATGACTCTTATACAAATATGAAATGAACACGTCAAAAATTTTAAACTTATTAATTAATGAGGGAACTGATAAGATACCACAACTGATTCAAATAGAATTAAAAAAACCACATTCAGGAGTGTTAAGACAGGTTTACAAATAGAGGCAAGACTGATCAATATCCAAAGGACAATAATCAACTGCATCTCTACCAGATACAATTCATTCGCATTAATATAGGCCTGGAACAGTTGCATTGAAATCAGTTTTTTATAACTTACAAGGTTGAAAAATAACTCCAATACAGTGAAAAGTAAGGATAATCTAGAAAAGCATGCTAATGAGGACAGCCAGTAATCCTGTTTTTATTCTCATTTTAAAGACTTTCAAAATCGTTGCTGACTCATTTTATGTACAAAGGATTATAAATAATTTATTTTTGTGAAGTATAATATATGATAGGAAGAGTGGTGGAAAATAAAGCTTGAGATTTTTGGCAGAGGTAGGTCATGAAGGGCCTTTCATGTTATACTAAATCTTGGATTTCATGTTGAAGGTGATGGAAGAACCACTGAAGGACCTAAGCAAGGGCCTTTTTCATACCTTACTTGTATGTTACTATTATAACACCAGTTTATGCCTTGAGATAAGCATTCCTTGGGAGTATTTTAGGCCAATTGTGACGTTCTCTTGGGTTCAGCATTTTCACAAGGCGAAATGAAGATTAGTTGGACATCTGCAAGTATGCTAAGTGTTGGAAGCACATCCGTACCCAATGTTTAAGTAATCCCTGGTCTTAAAAACAAACAAACAAATATCTACTTTGTATTAGTTGTCTGCTACTGGAGGGGTCCCCAACCCCTGGGCTGTAGACTGGTACCTGGTAGTGGCCTGTTAGGAACTGGGCCACACAGCAGGAGGTTAATGGCCAGCAAGAAAGCATTACCACCTGAGCTCCACCTCCTTTCAGATCAGCAGTGGCATTAGCTTCTCATAGGAGCACGAACTCTATTGTGGACTGCACATGTGAGGGATCTAGGTTACTTGCTCCTTATGAGAATCTAATGCCTGATAATCTGAGGTGGAACAGTTTCATCCTGAAACTACCCCTCACTTCTCCAACTCCAGGATGCACCATCTGTGGAAAAATTGTCTTCCACTAAGCCAGTCCCCTAGTGCCAAAAAGGTTGGGGACCACTGTGCTACTGTATAGCGAATCACCCCCAAACTTAGTGGCTTAAAATGGCAATAAATATTTATTATCTTGCTCTTTCTGTGGGTCAGGAATTCAGAAATAATTTAGTTTGAATCTTCCGGCTTGGAGTCTCTCATGAAGTTTTAGTCAAGATGTTCCCTGTGTCTGCAGTTATCTAAAGCTTGACTGGAGCTGAAGGATACACTTCTGGTCAGGCTTTCCAGAGTGCCTCACTTATTAGGCTGACAAATTGTTGGTATGAGGGCTGTTTCTCTCCATATGGGCTTTCCCACACAGCTGCTTGAGTGTCCTCGTGACATGGCAGCTAACTTCCCCCCAGGTGGAGCAATTGAAATAGAAAGAGCCAGGTGAGAGTAATTTTTAAATTTTTTTTATGACCCAGCCTCAGAAATAACATGACATCACTTCTATCACATTCTATTTACTAGAAGAAAGTCATGAAATCTGGTCCTCATGCAAGTGGTGGAGAATCAAACTTTTATTTTTTTTTTTCAGATGGGGTTTTACTATGTTGCCCAGGCTTGACTCAAACTCCTGGCCTCAAGTGATTCTCCTGTGTTGGTCTCTCAAAGTCCTGGGATTACAGGCATGAGCCACTGTGCTTGGCATAGGCTCCTTTTCAAGAAAGGAGTTTCAATGAAATTACTAACAAATTTTAAATCCACCATGTGTATGAGTAACTGTAACTCATCTTTACCAGTTATTTATATTACCATAGTTGTATCAAAACCGTGCACACCCACACTTTTTGATTAATTCTAATTGGAGCAAGGAATGAATATTTTAAAATTGCTCCCCACTACATGACCACTGTGGGTTGACACAGTTACAAGCTGAGTTTTATTACTGTACCCACATAGAGCAATATCCATATTGTGTTTATATACATCAGTGCATAGGAAGAGGCCACCCTTTTAAAATTTACGCAAGTGACAGGTTTATTGGCATCAAGCTTCAATTTAGAGTGCACTGGAGATTTCCAACTGCACTCATCCACCTTCACATGCGAAACTCAGAGAATCCATCAAATCCACAGATTTGTCTTTTTTATTTTATACTAAAAATATTGCTGGCATATGACTTGTAGTATATATTCCTGTAAGTTAATAAAATGAACATACCTACATCTAGATATTCGTTCCTGGATTTTGCCTAACTGGCTTCCATTTTGCGTAAATGTTAATGCTTGAATCTTAACCAACTACCTGCTGACCCTGTGCGTTTTCACTTTCGATGTTTTCAATGTTAATTTCACAAGCAAAGTACTCTTTGGAAATAAGTTGCATCTGTTTAATATACAGGGTTGTGGCAAAAAGGCAGAAGAGTTACTTTCCACTTGCTCGAGGGAGCAGGTAGCCAGCCAATATTACACGTCGTCCCACTGGCTGTGCGGGGCCCTGATGACAGGTCCCTATGAGCTTGTTGACAGCAGTTTCCTGCCAAGAAACAGCCCCCTATACCATATGTTTATTTTTGGCTGAGAAAATCCCTCAAGCAGTGAATTCTAACACTCTCGGGTACCTCTAATTATCTGAAGGGATACGGGAAAATTCTCAGTCTAGTTTCTAAAACTAACATCAATTTTAATTCATCTTTATTAAAATTTGTGAAACCAGTAATTGATTTCAGAGAAGAAGGATGATAGAGGGAGTAGCTGTTCAGAAATTGAAGAAAGAGTAGCTGGTCAATTCTAAAACTTGAGAATCAGGGCCTGAGAAGCAGAGAGACAAGTAGGCTTTTTTGAAAGTATTCAGATCTCAGACCTTGCTTGTCTTGGTCTCTGACATGCCTTTTCTGTTATATTCTGGAAAGTGCTAACTTCTCTAACCTGACCAGGAAGTTAGAAATAGTTCTATATGGCCGAGCACAGTGGCTCACACCTGTAATCCCAGCACTTTGGGAGGCTGAGGTGGGTAGATCACGAGGTCAGGAGATCAAGACCATCCTGACCAACACGGTGAAACCTTGTCTCTACTAAAAGTACAGAAAAATTAGCTGGGCCCGGTGGCACGCGCCTATAGTCCCAGCTACTCGGGAGGCTGAGGCAGGAGAATCTATTGAACCTGGGAGGTGGAGGTTGCAGTGAGCCGAGATCGTACCATTGCACTCCAGCCTGGGTGACAGAGAGAGACTCCATCTCAAAAACAAAAACAAAACAAAACAAAACAAAACAAAAAAAAAACAAAAAGAAATAGTTCTATATGGTCACTATTAAAATTTGAGCAATAAACTTTGTTTAATAGCTTTGCTTAATGTTGGTTTATGAATCAGGTATAATGTTGATTGATTTAATTCTGCAGCACAGTGGAAATTACATTGAAATGTCCTTCTGATTTCATGTGTAAAAAGCGGGCAACTGCATGATAGAATTCAAGCTGAACTCCCTGTCTGTGTACTCACAAGCAAGCACTCTTACTGAGATGTAATATTAAATATGCCTTACAGTTTTATAAATAGGTAGTGATGGAGGGATTTGATTTAAAAGAAATTTTGATTTTTAAATACATTTAAAAATGTATTTGTTACTATGTATTTCAAATATAAGGAGCTTACTCTCCACCTTTTATTTTATTTTATTTTTGAGATGGAGTCTTGCTGTGTTGCCCAGGCTGGAGTGCAGTGATGCAATCTCAGCTCATTGCAACTTCCACCTCCTGGATTCAAGTGATTCTCCTGCCTCAGCCTCCTGAGTAGCTAGGATTACAGGTGTCCGCAACCATGCCTGGTGAATTTTTGTATTTTTAGTAGATATGGGGCTTTGCCACATTGGCCTGGCTGGTCTGGAACTCCTGACCTCAAGTGATCCACCTGCCTCGGCCTACCAAAGTGCTGGGATTACAGGTGTAAGTGACTGCACCTGGCCTCCACCTTTTATTTATTAGAGACAGGGTCTTGCTGTGTCCTAGGCTGGCACTGAACTCCTGGACTCAAGTGATCCTTCTGCCTCAGTTTCCTGAGTAGGTGGGCTTACAAGTATGTGCCAATGTGCCCAGCTTCCACCTTTATTTATGTCCTAATTTAGATATGAATTTAATTAGATTTGTCCCTGACAGTTGATTTTGTATCTTCTTATTGTCCTTGTTAATGATATTAGAGAGATGATGATCCCCAAGAACATGTGAAATGGAAACATATTTCTTAACCATATTATTTTCTGAGAGCCTTGTGTATTAACATGTCTGATGCTACCTTCTGTTTCTTGAGAGGTTCTAAGAACCACTACCCTCATACTAAAACATGTCTCTTTTAATGCTCTCTGAAATCCCCCCAAATAACTTCTCACTAAAGGATCTCTTATTGTGTCACTGTTTAGGGCATTTAGATATTCAGGCAATGCACTAGAGTTTTTCAGTGTATTTGATTAATCCAGGATTGCCCAGAGATTTAAGGAAACAAGATTTAAAATAGATCTACTTTTAGTGTTTATTAGTCCATTTTCATGCTGCTGATAAAGACTACCCGAGACTGGACAATTTACAAAAGAGAGAGGTTTGACTGGACTCACAGTTCCACGTGTCTGAGAAAGCCTCACAATCATGGCAGAAGGCAAGGAAGAGCCAGTCATGTCTCACATGGATGGCAGCAGGCAAAGAAAGAGAGCTTGTGTAGGGGAATTCCTCTTTATAAAACCATCAGATCTTTTGAGACTTACTCACTATCATGAGAACAGCAGGGAAAGACTTGCCCCCATGATTCAATTACCTCCCACCAGGTCTCTCCTACAACAGCTGGGAATTCAAGTTGAGATTTGGGTGGGGACACAGCCAAACCATATCACAGTGTTACAAAAAAAAATACTATAAATCAGCATCACATTATTTACCTTTAAATGTAGGATGTTGGAAGACCTTAGACCTTCTATATTTCAGAGTTCTTGTACTCTTTTTTCACCATTCAGTGAGAAAAATGTTTGATGGATACTGTGTTGAGTACAATGGGAACTGTTTTATTGAGCAGGCAGCTCTGTCTAGAATTGTCACATTTCAGCCTTTGGATAGAGGCTCATGGACAGTGCTATTCTAGGTTGTAAAACCATATAGATTAGACCACCGTAGGCAGAGAGGATGCACCACATTTTGTTTATCCATTACTGATTGATGTTTTTTCCCCCCAGTTTTGGGCTCTTATTAATAATCCTGTTATTGCTGAGAGAGAAGGAAGAAAGGAACTAGCTAGGCAGATAGTTAGGGCAAAGAGTCCTTGGCAGAATTCCTTCTCTAACAAAGAGCAGCCTGGAAGATGGGGCTGCAAACGTAGATAAGGAGCAAGTTCCAACACAGAGAGGGACCCTCCTGTGTAATCAGCAATCTTCACATCCATTTGGTGGGCCCCAGTAAGCACAGTGGGCCCTAGTGAGCACTTTCCTTTCCTTTTTGGACATTCTCAGATAAGGAAGCTTGCATGAGGCAGGGGTGCCTGCATCTGCACCTGTAAGAGGAACTACTTTTGGCCAGGCATGTCCACCGTGGAGGATTCTGCCCCCTTAACACATGCACAGTAAAAAACATAAGCAACATGAAGTTACTTAGGCCAAGAACCTGCCTGTGCAATAAAAGGTTGGGGTAGGGGCTGCCAGAGACTCTCACCCTATGCAAATGACACACCTAGTTCTAACTGGTTTTTCGTGCCTTATGTAGATGAGATACCCCCTCCCCACTAGCTTGTTTATAAAAACCCTTGTATTTCACTGTGAAATGGCAACCATTTTTTGGGACCCCTCTCTGTGGCAGAGGGCTTTCTCTCTTTCTCTCACTTATTAAACGTCTGCTCTAACCTCACCCTTGGAGTGTCTGCATCCTTGATTTCCTTGGCCACAAGACAAAGAACTTTGGGTGGCACCCCAGACAATGAGATGGCTTCATTGCCATTTGGATAGAAGTCTTTTTTGCCTTTTATTTTCATTCTGAATTTTTACTGTGGCAAATTTCATATATACATAAACCAAAGTAAGCAAAACAATGTAATAAATTCTCCTGAGCCCATGATCCAGGTTTAACAATTATGCATTTATGGCCAATCTTGTTTCTTTTCTACCCCACTCACTTTCCCTACATCAGTATTATTTTCAAACAAATCTCTGACGTAATATCACTCTATTCATAAATATTACAGTACCTGTCTCTAAAAGATAAGCCCCTCTTCTAAAAACATTACTGTAGACCATCAGCATATTGAAAAAATTACACAGATTTTAAAAATTTCCTTATTAGATGTCATCTGTATCCACATTTCCAGTTTTCACATAAATATTATTAAGTTTGATGATTGCTTGAGTTAGTATCCAAATAAGATTCACATACTATAGGTGATTAGGATAAGTATTCTACATCTTTTTAAAATCCATAAGTTCCCCCTTCATCTCTGTCTCTTTCTCAGAATTTATTTGTCAAAGAAACTGGATCATTTATCTCTTAGAGTTTCCTGCAGTTTCACGTTCCCTGACTGCGTTCCTGTGGTGCAGTTTAACATGTTTCCATGTCCCCCGTATTTCCTATGAAATGGTAGTTGGACCTAGAGGTTTGATCAGATTCAGGTTTCATTTAAAAATTTTATATGGTGTGTTGTTTTCCCATCTGCAGGAACATAATGCATGATTTTCTCTTCGTTTTGTGATATTAGCCATCTTTGAACATCATTAATTGATCCTCAGTTCATTAAGAGTTGCAACAGAATGATATTTCAATGCCTCAATAAAGAGAAACTCCTCGCATCTACTATTTGGTTATCAAATGGCAGAGTTAATAAAAGAGAGGAGGATGAATTCTCATTTCTTTTTCTCATCAGTTTTCAAAATAGTAACTTTCTCTAGCATCCACAAAAGGTGACCAGTTCACATCTTTTTAAACATAATGCTCTAGATTTAAATTTAATCTAGATCTAATTCCATTTTAATATTAGACACATATATAATAATTTATGTTTTGATTCAAATCTATTTCTATGTCCTCATAGTGGCTAAGCTTGCCCAGTACAACACAGAGGGACACCAACATCCTCTTCTGTAACCATTGTTTCATGCATCTCCCTTTGCTGGGACAAGGAAAACAATTGTGCAACCAACTGGGTATAGGGTAGAGGAAGTTGGCAGAAAATTCTGATCAAAACTGCTTTCAAAGGGTCATAAGAGAATTTTCTTAGGGTGATGAAACTCTTTTTTTTTTTTTTGAGACAGGGTCTTGCTCTGTCACCCAGGCTGGAGTGCAGTGGCATGCTCACAGCTCACAGCAGCCTTGACCTCCTAGGGTCAAACAATCCTCCCACCTTAGCCACCCAAGCAGCTGGGCCCATGGGCACATGCTATTATGTCAGGCTAATTTTTCTATTTCTTGTAGAAATGCGGTTTCACAATGTTGCCCAGGCTGGTCTTGAACTCCCTGAGGTCAAGCAGTCTATCTGCTTCACTTCCCAAAGTGCTGGGATTAGACGCGTGAGCCACCATACTCAGCTGAAACTTTCTTACACCTTGGTTTTAGTGTTGTCTGTATTTGTCAAAACTTACAGAACTGTACATTTAAAAAGACGAATTACACCTAAAAGAAAATTATACCTATGTAAATTATACCTAAAAGAAAACCACAATTATTACTTGACTTTAACAATGCATCTAGTGTAATACATATTTTTTCCTATTTTCAATTTATTTGTAATGCTTAATTAAAAATTATTTTTAAAATGTTTGAATTTGAAAAAATACATTAATAACTTTAACTTGATTATGATGACTTTATGACTTCAGGTAAATTGCTTTTAAAAAACATATAATGTAAAAATTTAAGTTAGGCCGGGCACTGTGGCTCACGCCTATAATCCTAGCACTCTGGGAGGCCGAGGTGGGTGGATCACTTGAGGTCAGGAGTTCAAGACCAGCCTGGCCAACATGACAAAACCCTGTCTCTACTAAAAATACAAAAATTAGCTGGGTGCGGTGGCAAGTGCCTATAATGCCAGTTACTCAGGAGGCTGAGGCAGGAGAATCACTTAAACCCTGGAGGTGGAGGTTGCAGTGAGGCAAGATCACGCCACTGCATTCCAGCCTGGGTGACAGAACAAGACTCCATCTCAAAATTAAAAAAAAAAGAAAAAAAAATTAAGTTAGCTAGGATTCAGTGGTTTCCAAATTTTGATGCACATTAGAATCAGTCAAGAACTTTTAAAATCTTTCTTCCTGGAATGTTTGGGAGTGGAAACCTGGCATTAGGATTTAAAAATGTTTCCCTGATGCTTCCCTGGTGATTCTAGGGAAATAGTCAAGGTTGAGAACTATTGCTATAGGGTCTTTTCTTGTTTTCAATTTTGGCTGTATGTTGGAATCACCTAAGGACTAAGGGGCCTTTAAAAGCTATTGATATATGGGCTGACCCTCCCCAAATTAGGATTTGTGCTGCCTGGGTTGGGGGCCTGAGTGCTGAGAGTTTAAAAAGCTCCCCAGGTATTTCTGCTATGCAACCAAAGTTGGGAACTACTGGTCTATACAGTGTACCTTCTAAAGCTATGAAGAATTTGCTGCTCCCCTGCCACTTCCATTGGTCCCCAGACTAATAGCATCAGTGTTACCTGGAAATATATTCTCAAATCTCACCCCAGACTTACTGAATGAAAAACTCAGAAGGTGGGGCCGAGAAATATTTGTGTTTCAAGCTCTCCACCTTCATCTGATATACAGTACAGTTTGAGAAGCACTGCTTGGGGAGATTTGGTGGCCATTTTTTAGTTATTGATGGCAGAATTGGACTCTCACTGCTAGAACCTGAGGGAGGCTCCTGTGTGGATTTGGCCATTCTAGCATCTGAAACCCAGGTCAAAGATACTGGAGAATTATTTTAATATTGTTTTGACATATTTGATTGCTCCTGTGCTGAAGTGGCATGAATGTTGTGGAGCTCTAAGAATGGCCATCCCATTCATGTAGAGTTATTTTAACAAACCAGGGAAAATGCAAACAATAGTATCTTTTAGATGCACTCAATTACACTGCATTGCTATTAATATGGCCCAGTTCTCTGTGATTCTGTTTTAGAATCTGCAGGTCTTTCTTTGTTAGATCTCCTTTGATTTTGTTTTTTTTTTTTAAAGTGAAAGCTCATCTTGAAAGAGAACCACTTTTATAATAGAAAGTCCAGAGACTTCAGTGATTCTTTATCACAGTGTCCTCTCTTTTAGTATTGCTCAGATTTTAGGTTTTGTTGTGACAAGACTTCATAAAATGTTTAAAAAGATAATTTTCTTCAACTGCATTTTATACTGATTTAGAAAGACCTAAACACGTGCATCTTAGAAAACAGTGCTATATGAAGGATGTTTTTTTCTTCATATAGGCTGGATAAGACATGTATCCAATCACTTAAAGTCTATGGTACAGGGTGGCAGTGGAAACAGATAACTTTGAAATGGAGCTATCTTATGGTTTGTTGTAAACAGGCATAAAAAGTAAAATCGACTAAAAACTCTTAATAAATAAAACCCGAAGTGAAGATAAAAAATTTGAGTATCTCCAGTAATATCTGACACTTGAATTCTTTCTCCAACAATGGAAGACCTGCAAATTCTAAACAGAATCATACTTTACCTCTTTCTCTCCACTCAAATATTTTAATATTTCAAATATCTAAATAGAAGGATGAAGCAGTAAAACATTTTTCAAAGTAGTACCAGCCACCATGCTGTTTGCCACCTAAATATTTGAACTTGAGGTTTGAATTGCCCTAACATAATCTTATGCTTTTTTTTTTTTGCATTTCATCTCAATCCAATCTGCTTGTTTGTAGATCAATAACAATAATTTGGGAATAATGATTTAAATAAGAAACTTCAGTGAATGAGCTGATGATTACAAGGAGATTAAGATTTTGAACTGTTACTATGAAACTTTTAAAAAAGATCCTGAAAGGTTAATGTGTAAAATTTAAATCCCCATGTCCTAAATAGTTTAATCTGAATATTACCTTTAGGTAAATAGGGGAAATAACAATTAGACTACTTTGTTAGAATAATTTGGGTTTGGGATGGCAGCTGGGGTTAAGAAATAGAATTGAATATTTAAAAAAGTTGGTGGTAGTAGAACTGAATTTAGGCTTGGTGTCTATGAGTCAGAAGAAAATCTTTGTTGGTGAAAGTTTCTATTCATTTCTTACACTGAAAGGATATTTTCCAAACTAAATTGTGGGCTGCAGTTGTCATAGAAACTAATAAGCACTTTGTAGCAACTTCGCAATACCTTCTCTGTAAGTGAGGCTCTAAGATAAGCTGCGCCAGCTGCAACTTTTGGAGGGCCTATGGGAGAATTCTCCAGGGTGGCTCTGGGCTTTGACACAGTGATGGGAATGTGGCTGTGTGAACAGCAAGTACAGGATTAGCTAAGTCTCTTGGGATGTGCACAACTAAGCAGCCTCATTCTGTAAACATGGAAACCAGTTTAAAAAGAACCAAAGGGATGCGTGTTCTCTTGTGAGAACTAAAATAAGGCCACTTACAGTGTTTGTATTGGGTGATACAGATTTTTGCTTAAATTTAACTTTAGACTTAACTTTTGCTGACTGACATGCTGACTTTGACCAAAGAATTTGGATTTTCCCGCTTTCTTTGTTGAGATATGGAAATTTATAGGTATTGCAAAGAAGGAAAAGGGTATGTGCACACATAAGGTGTGTATGGATATGTAGGTAGATGGAATATGCAGAGGGCTTGAAAATAAAGTACAAAAAAAAGAAGAGAATAACGGAAGAACTTGAGAATTATGACTTTAATCTCTTAGAATTTAATGGAAAGCTAAATTTAGCTAAACAGATATATGTTTATGGAAAACTGTGTTTATTTCACACGATTCCACCCGTTTTCAGATTCTTTAATTTCAACTTTTAATCTCTGTCTTTCATGAAGATAAAGTCTGTGCCTTTTAAATTTTTTGTGCCCATATGTTTATCAGATAATATTACGGCATATGAAAAGACTCAGCTACCAAATGCATGGAGTTTCGCTTGCAGAAAGAAAGCAGTGTTTTTTGGTGGGCTATTTTGTATTTTTACTTCAGAAAGAGTCTATATTGTATCTTTTGAACTTCCTAAAACCAAAAACTGCATTTCTGCCTTATTTCCTGGTGAGATAATAGATTACATTTACAAGGCTGGGGCTAGTTCCTTGCAAACATTTCTAACATTTTTAGGTCCTAGTTTTTCATGACCAGTGTGTCCCTTTTTATTATGCCACTAGTTTTGTGTCAGTAACGCATAAACCAAAGCCAAAAAGAAAAAATAACAACAACAAACTTCTATGAAATAAACTCCTGGGCCAGGTGCGGTGGCTCACGCCTGTAACCCAGCACTTTGGGAGGCCGAGGCGGGCGGATCACGAGGTCAGGAGATTGAGACCATCTTGGCTAACACGGTGAAACCCCGTCTCTACTAAAAATACAAAAAATTCGCCGGGCGCAGTGGCGGGCGCCTGTAGTTCCAGCTACTCGGGAGGCTGAGGCAGGAGACTGGCGTGAACTCGGGAGGCGGAGCTTGCAGTGAGTCGAGATAGCGCCACTGCAGTCCGGCCTGGGCGAAAGTGCGAGACTCCGTCTCCAAAAAAAAAAAAAAAAAAAGAATGTCGACTCCTGAATTGTGTTGGAAAACAGGAGACATGTCTTTGCATCACGTATTTCAGCCTGTGAAAAACACTTGGCTTTTTTCCATTTTTGGCTTTTCACCTGGACTATTACATATGTACTACATATCTATTGATGAATAACAAACAAGTTACCCTGGAACTTAGCTTAAAACAATAAACATTTCTCATCTCACACAGGAAGTGACTTAGCTGGGTGGTTCTGACTTGGTCTCTCATAAGGTTGCTGTCAAGTTGTCTGCTGGGCTGAAGGACATTCTGGGACTAACGGATCTGCTTCTGTGTGGATGACAGGTTAGTGCTGGTTTTGGAAAGGAGGCCTCAGTCCTTGCCATGGGGACTCTCCATAGGGCTGATAGAGTGTCCTCATAACATGGCAGCTGGCTGCCCCCCAGAGCGAGTGATCCAGGAGAGAGCAAAGTAAAGCCCACAATGTTCATGACCTAATGTAGGAAGTCACACAGTCATTTTCACAACATTCTCTGGTTACACAGATCAGACACATTTATTATATGACAAAAGGTGTGAATGTCAGGAGATGGGGATTGTTAAGAGCCATCATGGAGGCTGGTTACCACCACCACATAAATGTCCAAAAGTCATGAAGGAAAATGAGACTAGGGCTGTGGGTCTGGAATCTTCCAAAAGACTATAAAAGTAGATTTTCTCTATTTTAGGAAACATGCAATCTAATTATTTTAAGTATCATGTTTAGAATTTTGCACTCTTCTCTTGGCTTAAAAAAGAGAAGGAGATTGAGGACAGGTCTATAATTTTTAGGTCAAATCACATAAGGGTCAGAAAGGAACTAACACTCTACCACTGGTCAGGCACTTTACATGAATTCTGTCACACCTCACAACAGCCCTCGGAGGTGAGTGGTATTAGTCCCACTTGCAGATTCAAAAATTATGTTCCAGAGAAGTTTAGTAATTTTCTCATCGCCACACAGGTACTACGTAGTTGAGCCCTCATTCAAATCCTGGTGGCTTTGGTGCTAAAGTTTGTGAGTTTCTTATTACATCATACAGTAATGGGCAGTACACTCCAGGTGGGTGGGCGCCAGTGCCCGCCACCTTCACTGGTGAATACAGAGCACCTTGCATGCACATAATAGGCAACTTATAGATATTTGTTGAATATGTGAAATTAATTAATGTCTGTATATACTGAAATTACTACCTGAGATATTTATTTTGATCCCCAGAGTTGGTCTTTTAGATAAACTCAAGACTTCAGACTTAGTGGAATTATATTGCAGCACATTTGGAAAAGCAATCTGCTTAAAACTAGATGAAATGGCATGTACAAATGTGGCTAGTAGTGTCTGACAAATATTAGGTGCTCAAAGACTATTTTACTCTCCACTTTGCAATTGTGGAAATTTTGTTCAAGTCATTGCATAATTAAGAAAACTTACAAATTTTCAAAAATAATGAAAAAAAGAGAAACATCCTACTTTTCCATAAAAAGGAAAAATATGGATTCTGAAGACAGCTAACTTTGTCTGCAAAGAGCTGATTGATAAATGAGTGATTTAGCTGCTCCTAGAAAACAGTGAGCATTTGGTCTACTGGCGAGCCAACCTTGTCCTGAATTGCCTGTTTTGTTTTCCCTAACAACTTTTCTATATTTATCTCCTCCATCCTGCTTCTTCCCCCGGTTTAGCAATGTGATTTATGATGGGGTGTTTAGGAATCCCCCAAGGTGGCTTGGCCACTAGAGGGGCTTGAGACTAAAGGTCAGCAACATGGACAGTCCCAAGCCCAAATAAAAACTACGGACCAAGGCTTAGGTGAGTTCCCTCATTGGCAATGCTTCATGCATATTGTCACAGATAGTTGCCAAGAGAATGTGGTGTTGCCCTTGACTCCACTGCAAGGCTACAACTGGAGAGTCCGTGAGTGGGACTTGCCTGGATTCTTCTCCATGTGTCTCTTCTCTTGGTTGATTTTAATCTGCATCTTTTAACTCTAATAAAATACAACCTTAGTATAACAGCTTTCAGTGAGTCTGGTACGTCCTTCTAGTGAATTATTGAATCTGAGGGTTGTTTTGGGAACCCTGAACTTGTGGTTGGTGTCAGAAGTGAGGGTGGTCTTGGCGACTTCCCTAACCCCTGCAACTGATCATCCAATTGCACTTTTAAGAAAACCTGAACACCTTACAGTGGCCTTTGGGATCCAAAGCAGTAGTCTTTATCCACCTGTCTGACGTTATTTTGTACCACATTCATTCTCCCTCATTACCTCCGATCCCATTGTTCCTCCATTTGGTTTTCAAACATGTCCGCAAGTGTCTTGGTACGTAGTTTCTTCTGTTGCATCTCTCTGGCTTCAGATATTTACGGGACTGATTGTTTTATTAAGGTATTAATTAAAATTATCACTTCTTCCAGTAAGTCCCATAGAAGGCAAAATCCTTGACTATTTTGTTCATTGTTGTGTCCAAGTGCTTAGAACAGCCACTAGCATGCATTGGGCATTCATTAAATATTTGTTAAAAGAGTCACAAAATGTATTTCCTTTTGAAAAAGCAGAGTAAATAAGCTGTCAGGTCAAGAAACTATTAGAAGCCATAGTGTATTTTATATTAAAAGATGTAAACAAACCACCTCTCAATATACTTGGACTTAAGCATAGCTGGTAGAGAATTGATAAATGAATCAATTTTCACTTGGTGGCTTACCTTAAGAGTTTCTCTAGCATTTTAATTAATGAGTTGGTAGAAAGATATGTACATCAAATTTTTAGATAAAAGAAAACAACACTTGAAAGGGTCAGAACAGGTAGAACAAAGGAACAGAGACTATTAAACATAAAATTGAATTAGGATAAATTTAAATTATCACATTCAATTTAAAAAATAAAGTTGGCTGGGGGCGGTGGCTCACACCTGTAATCCCAGTACTTTGAGAGGCCAAGGTGGGTGGATCACCTGAGGTCAGGAGTTCAAGACCAGCCTGGCCAACATCATGAAACCCCGTCTCTACTAAAAATACAAAAAATTAGCCGCGCATGGTGGCGGGCGCCTGTAGTCCCAGCTACGTGGGAGGCTGAGGCAGGAGAATCTCTTGAACTCGAGAGGTGGAGGTTGCAGTGAGCCGAGATTGCACAATTGCACTCCAACCTGGGTGACAAGAGAGAAACTGCATCTCAAAAAATAATAACAATAATAAAATAATAAAAAAATAAAGTTGAGGAAAAATCTTATAAGTCCCAATTCTGTAAAAATGGCTAAGGAAACTGGAGTTATTAAATTTAAAAAAGAGAAGATTTAGGTAGATACGATAATTTATATTTAAAAACTATCAAGTGGAAGAGAGATTGGATTTATTTTGTGTAATTCTACAGATACTAATAAAACAAAGACTTGGAACTTTTGAGGAAAGATAGACTTTGATAAGGAAGAATATTCTGGCAGAGCTGTTCACAGTAAAATGGGGAGCGTGAGAAGGTACTGACCTATTTTGTTGCCATATAATGCATTTAAACCTTATCTAGGTAACCATTTGCTAGGTATACTGATGGAAAGATGAACTCCATGCTTGTTTTTTTTTGAGCCTTGCTCTGTCGCGCAGGCTGGAGTGCAGTGGCTCCATCTCGGCTCACTGCAAGCTCCGCCTCTCGGTTTCACGCCATTCTCCTGCCTCAGCCTCCCGTGTAGCTGGGACTACAGGCGCCCGCCACCACGTCCGGCTAATTTTTTTGTATTTTACTAGAGACGGGGTTTCACTGTGTTAGCCAGGATGGTCTCGATCTCCTGACCTTGTGATCTGCCCACTTTGGCCTCCTAAAGCGCTGGGATTACAGGCGTGAGCCACGGCACCCGGCCGAACTCCATGCTTTTTAAAGACCTTTACAGGTCTCTGAGTTCTTGTAGTTTAGGAAATCTAGGGACCATTTTCCAAGATCTTAGGGAATCCATGGATCAGATCCTTAAGACAAGATGATATGTCAAAGTCAATAATGGCAGATTCCTCAAAGGATAAATACTCTGTCCACAAATTCTTTGACATTCCTCTCAAAATAGAGGCCAGCCTTAGGGACTCATGTCTAACAGGTGGAATGCAGCGTCCTCCATGATTTGTGAGGCTAGAGAAGGTTAGAGAAGGTGAAATAGCTTTCATCTGACTTTTTCTTGGAACACTCTCCTTTGGAACCCAGCCTGTGTTCATGTCCAGAATTATATTTACTGAGTGACTTTGCCTAAGGCATTTAATTCTCTCAAATTTAGCAGTCACATGGCAAGATCACATGTTGGTATTTCCAGCCACATCTCCAGCTAAGGTCTCAGCTGAGAGCCAGCATCAACTGCCTGGCATGTGAATGAGTAAGTGAGCCTTTAAATGGTTCTATTATCCAGCCTTTGAGCCACTCCAGCTGGGGCCATTTGGAGCAGAGACAAGATGGCACTATCAAGCCCTGCCAAAATTGCAGGATTGTTCTGTGTTTTAACCATTTTACCTTAGGTGAGGTATGGTGAGGCCAGGCAGAGATCAAGAAAGAGAAGCTGGAAAGAGTTTTACAATTTTGTTACATTCATTGTTCCCTGAGAACACAGTATGCCATGCAGGGCCACTCAGCAGCAGAAGCACTGGGATTGGTGGTGCACAGAGAGAGAGGGGAACTCTGGGAAAGTGCTTTTATTGCACTGTGGGGTTTCTGTGGGAGAAAAAAAGGTGAGATAGGGCAAGTAGGCTTTGGATAGGCCAGTTGAATATTAGGAATAAGTGGGCTGATTGAATTGAGGAATCAGGGGCCTCTGAGGCATAAAGACTGTCCTCAGTTTTCTGGTATGTGGTTCTGAGGTGGTTAGGATGGGTGTACAGTGGCCCAGAACGAGAGAGCCTAATAAGGGAGATGCTTGAAGATGGATATAATTGACTGCTCAAGAAGGGGAACTGACCAGCCTGTAGCCTGAGCCTCAAAACTGGGCTAAGACAGCATTTATAAATCTATAATGCAGTGAGCAAAATAAATATTGCCATCATTTTAAGCCATCGCTTTGAGTAGTGTATTATGTATCAATAGATAATTGGAGCTTTCTGACTGTTGGTAGTTGTAGAAACTCACAAGATGAAGAGTCTGTTGTGCTCTTCTAGACATAGAGAGAATGTAATATCCCTGTCAGCTTCTAGGACCCTTCTGGGTCCCTGAGTTAGAGTTCTTCCCTGGATATGATTTACTAAGTCATCACATGGGCCCTAAAGCCTGGCCCAAACTGCGGCTCTTGTGAAGCCCCGAGGATGGGCTTTCTGTAGGTCTTCATGGGACAGCAGTGAGAGAGGAGCTTCCTGGATGTCAGAGAAAGAAGGTCTGTCTTAGCTCACTCTCAAGAGTAAAGGTTTCTGTCTTAGTTTGGGTTCACCTCAATGTAAAGCTTGAGAAATGAATTTGGGTGCTTATAATTTATTTGGGGAGGATCCCAGAAAGCAGTAGTGAGGGTATGAGAAGAGTTAGACAAGGATGGAGGAAAACCCAATGTAAGGGAGTGAAACAAAGACTTGATTCTCCTGGGGTCTTCTGAGAAGCATACTTTGCAGAAGCATCCACCTGTAGGATACGAGTCAGAGACATTTATCTGGCCCCCCTCATTTCCCCGTAGGTTGAAGGCTATCTCTGAGAGCAACCTTTGAACTATGCTTGTCCTTGGTCTGAGCAGGCTTCTATGGCATTGCATCAGAAAAGGCCTTTTGGCAGAAAGCAGAAAGATGGGTGACATGCCCTTGATGCCCTCAACCTGAGGGTAGTCTGAGCTCATGTGGATTTTTGCTAAGGCTGAAATTCAAGGTGTCCAGGGTGATGTGCTATGAAACACCGAGGTATCTGCCACAAAGTCAGGATAGGAAAATTTACTAAAATTGGAGTTAAAGGTCTGAGTTCCAGACCATAATTATACTAAGCAACCATGGCCAAGGCACTTAGCTTCCAGATTTAATTCTCTCATATATAAAATGAGGATAACATTATTAGGTGACATTTTTGTGGAAGATACAAAGCCAGGGACAGTGAGTCACAAGGAGAGGTGAACTGGCTGGCTGTCAAGGGGCCTCCGGAGGAGGTGTTACCATGGGGCATTTGCCATAACCTATGGCGACTAGGGTTTTCTGTATTCTCAGAGTGGCATCTTCTTTCAAGACAAGGCTTGTAACCAAATTTGTAAAGATTGACCTATAAATCAGCATAAAAGTTTATTACTTTAGAATGATAAATGTGAAAGTCACTGAGCATGAACAGTGCTATTCTTTGGCTAGGCCATACTGTCTTTGAAGGCAAGGAATTTTGGAAGTTCAAAGTCAGAAAGTTATTAAGTGAGAATAGGATCCAAATAAAGATAATTAGTTATGTGGTTGAATTTTGGAGCACCAGGGTAAGGGTAGCCTGTTGTATCGTTTTCTATTACAGGAATATTCCTCTCCCTTGAATAGGCATCAGCTTCTCTGACTTGTCCAGTGATTTTTTTTATAAAGTAATTATTTATTATAAAGTCATTATAATGACTGAGGTATTGGCAAATATCTTCAAACTTGTCTTATGCGTGTCTGGGATTCAACTGACTTATAAATCAACTTTGCATGTCTCTATCACTATGCATTGTATTGATTTTGCAGTGCAACTCTCAGAGGGAAAGGGTTTTTTTTCTTTTTTCTCTTTTTTTTTTTAACCAAACTCTTCAGGGGACAACTCATCCACTATACTGCCTGACAGGGTTATTGTAGAGATTAAAGGACATTGTTAAACTGATAAATACTGTGAGTTACTCTTGACATTATTAGATCATGGACTCCAGTAGGCAGTAATGGGCTCTGGTAAGTAGAAGAAAAGAGTTTTATAACCAATGAAATAGAAAAGTATTCTTAAACATTTTTTTTCATTGAAGAGTTAAAGGACTTTTGTAATCATGAATAAAAGAGGTTGTGTTATTTTTTCATTAGCCGAATACTGCACTTAAAACTAGACTACTGTTGATCAAATTATAAACTGATATCCAAAGCACTGTGACGGATTTTATTAGGAATTGTCAAATACAGTGAAGGGGGAAACGACATGTATAAGTCTGGGTTTATGGAACATAAAATATAATTTTTAACCTATTGGAGATAGACTAATTTTTAAAAGCTCAGTGTAAGAGGAACATTACTAACCTGGAAACTGGGAGACTAGAGCACTTGCCTTGTTCTGCTGACTAAAGAGCTGTATGACTTTGGCCAATTGTCTCATGGGAACTCAAGTTTTCTCAACAGTAAAAAGAGGACTAGTTTAGCTAATTCTATGTGCATTTTAGCTCTAAAACTTTCTGAAACAAGTAAAGATTCTTGCGGGTAGGAGCAATAGGAGTCAGATAACTTTAAAAAAGTGTGAATATTTTAGAGGAAAGTAAGAGATGGGAAGAGCTTCAATTGTTGTAAAAGGGAAATTGCTAACCTGTATTCCAGAAAGTTGCAGTCTAACATTTTCAATTTTCTGACACTAAAATACAGAGATAATACTTGAAGAAAAGTTCATAGGAAGTCCCTAATTATGGTGACCAGCCATCCAAGTTTGCCTGGCACTAAGAAATTTCTCAGAAAGCAGGACTTCCTCTATTAAATTGGGGAAAGTCCTGAGCAAAACAGGATGAATCAGTTTCTTCCTTACTCCTAACATGCAGTCTGTGTTATTTCAGTATAGCTTCCAAACTGCCCCCTATGTTGATGGCAGCCAAGTGGTAAGAAAAGTTGCTACTAATAAACTTTAAACCCTACAAATGGTGCTTCTGAAAGGCATATAATACTTAGGTGATGAATAGAGTTTTAAAGTCACAAGCTGGGGAATGTGCATAAAGGAAAGCAGACTAAGAGACAAGAGGCTAGAAACAAGCTTTTTTCCCAGTGTTCTGTATCCAGTAATTTGTTCATTCATATCTTCAGTGTTGTGAGTATACCCTCTGTGTGAAATTCAGTGCTTGTTGCTGGAAATGAAAACAAATGAACAAAAAATTCATCTCTCATGAAATTTATTTTAATCTACCTTGTTGTTATTAAATGTCTCTTCCCATTCGTCTTCCAGAGCACTGTCCTGTAAGTACTCACACATCTCGGTTCTGAGTCCAGGGCCTAGTACTTGGCAGGCACTTGATAACTATTTATTGAATTGAATTTCTGTTGTTCCCTTTGTTCTTCTACCTTTTAAAAAAGAAACTCTCTTTTCCCTTCTTTGTCTCAAATAATTCCACTAATATTTTTTCTCCAGGACTCAAAGCACTTGGCTAACATTTTCTGAAATCTTTATAGCCTGTCTCTGAAATAGGTAAGAAGTACAGTGATAGCAATTGTACCTATCACTGGCTATGGTCTCTCTTGGTTCTCTTATATCCTATTACTGATGGTTCATTTGAGCTTCCACAGAAGGTCAAGACACAGTTTAATAGTTCTCATGGCTCATTTTGGGCATCTGCAGGGCAGCAGACTCAGAAAAATATGTGGACTTCAAAGGTACTTATCAGAGGAAATTCAGATCAAAGCAAATAGCACGGTAAATACACCTAGTGTGGGGCTCATGTTCTACAGCACAGGGCCTATAAAGGTCTCCTGAGGACGTAAGCCAGAAACAGCCACCTGGAGTTGTAATTTTCCAGTCCTTCTGGAGATTTAGGTGAGGTCATTGCTGTGGATTCCATTTTGAAGTTTGGCAGCAGGAAGTGATCTTGGGATTTAACTCTGTCCGAGTGTCACTACACTGAAAATAGGACAGAATAATAAGACATTTATGACAAGGCTATTTGCTTTTTGCATAATGTATGGAACTGAAAAGCTAAAAATATTACTAAATTTAAAAAATCCCTAATTAATTCCTATCACATTCCAGGGAGAAGATGAGGGTTACGCTAGTTTTTCTTTTTTTATAGAAAGGACAATTGGATTTTTTAAGTAACTATTAAGGTTCACACATCAAATTAACAGCAATATACTCACATAGACATCTAATGTGACCACCACAAAACATTTCTTGGTATCAATGGGTTGTGCATGTTTGAAACTATCTAAATTGTTGGACTTCGCTCAGATTCTAGGATTACAAGCCGTATAGTAGGTGTGCTGTTTAATTTAATTTAATTATCTTCAATCAGTGTGACCTGGTATTTGCATTATTAATAGCCTTTATGTTTAGATCTGTCTGGTTGCTCCAATTTAGACAGACAATTTGTGAGTAGATACGCCTTTCTGCAATTGGATAAACTCCTGCACATGGGTAAGAAATGTCTTAAATTTGGAAATAAGCAATTGGAAAATTAGTTATCTTGTTAACAAGGCAGCCAGTCCTTCCTTAAGTGTGTGTTTACATGCATCTGAGTGTCTGTCTGTCTGTGTGTTATCTACCTGATTTTATTACAGATCATCAGTAACTCTTAAAAAAGAAAAAAAAACAGAACTGTTTATAATTCTGCAGGGTCTTGATAAGAAAAATGCAGTAGGAAGGAGTTAGCTCAGTTAGTAATTCTCTTTCACTACACTTTGGAGATATACATAATTAAAACAAGTCTGTCTGTCTATCTGTCACCTACCTGTCTATCTATCTATCCATCTATCTATAATCTATCTGTCAATCAAGGAGTTAATATATTCATGTGGTTCAAAAATCACAAAGCAAGGCCAGGTGTAGTGGTTCATGCCTGTAATCTCAGCACTTTGGGAGGCTGAGACGGGTGGATCACTTGAGGTCAGCAGTTTGAGACCAGCCAGCCAACATGGTCAACCGCCCCCGCCCGGCATCGCTACTAAAGTTACAAAACTCAGCTGGGCATGGTGGTGTGTGCCTGTAGTCCCAGCTATTCAGGAGGCTGAGGCACGAGAATCTCTTGAGCCCAGGAGGTGGAGGTTGTAGTGAGCTAAAGTGGCGCCACTGCACTCCAGCCTGGGCAACAGAGAGAGACTCTGTCTAAAAAAAAACAAAAAACAAAAACAAAAAAACTCACAAAGTATAAAATAAAGTTCATAGTTACAAGTCTCTCTCCTATTTCTTGTTACCCCTCTGCCAAGACACTGCAGTCATACATAATGATTCTTCTTAATTTCTTGCGTCCAGATTTTCAGTTTAAAAAATTTATTTAAAAGCCAATTAAAATATGGCTTCTTTCCTTCTTTCTTTTACAAAAAGGTGACATATTACAGACACTCTTTTGCAGTTTCTTCACCTAACAAAGTGCTGTGTAATGGTGATCTTGCCTTAGCAGCACATAGACAGCTTCCTCTTTTTTACCTAGCTTCATGGTACTTCATTTTATAGGTGAATGTTTTTCAAATTTTAATATATATCAAAGTTACATAGAGGGCTTGTTAAAATACAGATTGCTGAGCTCTACCCTCAAGTGTGAGAATTTGCATTTCTGATAAATTCCCGGGAGATGCTGATGCTGTTAGTCTGAGGACCATACTTTGAGAACCACTGCTCTAGATATATTATAATATGTTTAGCCTGATGATAGACAACAGAGATTTCTCCAACCTTTTGCTACTACAAACTATGAAGGAATGAATATTCTTATTCATATAACCTTTCAAACTAGTATAGGAGTTTTTGTAGGATAAATTTCTAAAAGTGGATTTTCTGGTCCAAGTGTTACATATATTTGTAATCTTGATACAAATTTCCACTATAGTGTCAAATTGGTGGTGATTCCAATGTACACTTCTACCAACAATATATAAAAGTGCCTATTATACCATACCAAAAAAGCTTATTATAAAAACTATATCTGCCAGTCTAATAGATAAAAAATGGTTTTAATTTGCATTTACCTTTTCATGTAATGGAGAATTATTTGTATTTGTTTTTTGAAATTTACTTTCTGGAGTAAGTTTCCTAATTTTTCTAGAATTCCAGTTTCTTTATTTGTAAAATGAGAATATTGGTAATTTTTAGGAGTTAGGCAGTTCAAACTGCTGTGGCCTCAGGACTTTATTTTTGGTCCCAAGTAAGTGAATGAATTCTACTTCATCTCATTACACAATTTCATTTATTTGTCCATTTATTTACTCATTAATCATTCAGTATCTATAATATGCTAAGTACAGGACATAAAGAGATGTAAACCTTATTTTTGAGGCATTTACTGTCTACTAGAGGAGACCAACATGCAAATGGTTATGTTACAATAAAATGATGGCTGTTAGGATGGAGAAAAGAGACAGAAACAAGGGGATGCAGGTCAAAAGCAACACAGGTTTATTGGACGAAGAAACCTGTGGAGGGGGACACCAGCTATGTGGCTGGAGCTCGAGCTCCTTTTACAGACTGGGGCAGTTACAGGTCTAGCTGGGAGAGGTGGAATTGTTGCAAAATGGGATGGGCGGTGTGGTTAGCTGCTGATAAGGGAAGAATTTCCGATGGCCAGGCAGTTGGGCCTGAGACCTGCCCGACAATGTGTTTCCCACTGCTGGGAAATTTCCACTCTGGCCAGGGTGTACAAAACGGTGGGAGGTTGACAAAATGGCGCAGCTTGGGCTAACAATGGCTGTAACAAAGGTCCCTACAAAGCCCGGGGAAATGAAAACCTAATTGTCTCTGGGGGAATCAGGGAAAGCCTCATGCAAAAGATAGCTTTCAAGTGACACTTAATGATAAGGAGGCGTCTGCCAGGTGGACAAGTGGAGGAGGGTATCCAAGGCAGAAGAACAGCTTATGCAAAACCAAAGCAGCATGGGGAAATATGGGTATTCAGGGAACTAATGTAACATTGATTCTTGAACAGAAGGGATGGGAGAAGGGCAACTCTGGTTTTCTAGTTCCCATTTGGGGTGGGAAAATGGTCTCAATTCCTTCAAATTGGCTCGTTCCAAACCCCAGACTATAATATAAATGTTTCCCTCCTATTTCCAGTAACCAATTTTCTCTCTATTAGATCTCTCATCTAGTCCTCTTTTGACCATGGCATTTGTGGTTTGAACTCTTCTTTGTCTCAAATGAAGATTTATTTGAGGCCTTGCTGCATGAGCTTGCCAATTTAATGTTCCATCCTCTGCCACATAATTCTTAATGAGAGAGTCAGAGGTTAATAGAAAAATAACATAGAAAGGAATATATCTTATGCTATAATTTTAAGAGTGTATATTCTCAAGGACTATTTGTGCAAATGGGGAGATGCTCAGAACATATTATACAGAAAAGAGAGAGGATGCACAATGTCTAATGATAAAGCAAGAGTTGTGTTTGTTATTTTTCATATATAAATCAGTCTATCAATCATCTATCTTATTTATTTGGCTATAAAATTCTATATTTTTTAAAATTAATATATTCTGATATATTTCTACATTATTAAAACTCTTCATAGACAACACATTTAGGCTGCCTTGACTGTCATCCTTGCACCATTTGGTGGATGACCACAACTTGGTTCTTTATTCTTCTATTTTTAGACATTTGGGTTTGTGCATTTTATTCATATAAGCAGAGATAAAAGAAAGAAATTATTAACAAAGTTTGTCTTAGTCCATTTTCTGAGCTGCACACAGGTCTACTTGGGCCACAGCTGGGGTGGCTGAGGAGCACTGTGCTGAAATGCAGAGAGCAAGGTGGCCCTGGTCAGTAGAAGGTGCCCTCAGCCATATCCTGAAACCATTCTGCCCTTTTGGAGCTCTAGGCCCATTATGAGAGGAGCAGCCTTGAAGATCTCCACAATACCTTTGAGGTTATTCTCCCATTGTCTTGATGAATGACATCTGGCTTCTCTCCAGTTATACTAATCCCCTCATCGAAAGGTTGCTTGGCCACACCATTGCATGCTTTACATTCTTTTTGTGGACAGGCTACAAATTTTTCAAATATTTATATTCTGTTTCCCTTTTAATTATAAATTCCATCTTTAAATACTTTCTCTTTTCTCTCATTTCACTGTATATAATTAAAAGAAGCCATGCAGCACTTTCAATATTTTGCTCAGAAATTTCTTCTGCCAGATATCCTAGTTCATTGCTCTAAAGTTCTGCTTTCCATAAAGCCCTTGGGCATGAACAATTCAGCCAAGTTCTTGGCTATTTTTTTTTTTTTTTAACAAGAATGGCCTGTACTCCAGTTTCCAATACCTTGTTTCTGTTCCTCATTTTTGTGTGAGACCTTATCAGAATTGCCTTTACCATTCATACTTTGGCCAGCTTCCTGGTCACAATGACTTAGTAATGTCTAAGAAGTTTCAGACTTTCCCTACATTGCCTGTTTTCTTCTGAGCCCTCACTAGAATGATACTTAAAGCTCTGTTTATGACAAAATAGGCTTTTTCTAGCCTGCTCCTCCAAATTCTTCCAGCCTCTGCCTATTACCTAGTTCCAAAGTTGCTTAACACATTTTCAGGTATTTGTTAAAGCAACAGCCCACTTCTCCTGCACCAATTTTCTGTCTTAGTCTGTTTTGTGCTGCTGTAAGAGAATACTGCAGACTGGGTAATTAATAAAGAACATAAATTTATTGGTTCACAGTTCTGGAGGCTGGGAAGTCCAATATCAAGGTGCTGGCATCTGGTGAGGGCCTACTTGCTGTGTCCTAATGTGGCAGAAGGCATTACATGGCCAAAGGGCAAAGTGGGTGAGAAACAGCAAGTGGAGGATGAAACTACTCCTGTAATAATGAACTCATTTCCATGATGATGACATTAGTCCATTTGTAAGGGCGGAGCCTTTATGACCTACACACTTCTTAAAGGTCTCACTTTTTAATACTATTACAATGGCAACTAAATTTTAACATGAGTTTTGGAGGGGATAAACATGCAAACCATAACTGAATTTATCTTGGATAATGGGTTAATGGGCAAAGATGATCTCTGTAGTTAATTAAGAAAAGCCAAAAAAAGCCTGGTATAAGAAAGATATTTTGGCTATAGAAGCATCAATGAATAATGGAAACAGTGATATTTCTCATCTATTTAGCATTGTACCAGCATCGTGTTAAGAGTCTAATGTGTTTTAGATTTGGGCTGCTTAGTTCTCCAAAGACCACACTATGAAATCTATGCTATTATCAACTTAAACTTCAGCCCCTCTACCCAGTCCTTCCACCCTAGGTTTGGGGGAGCATGCACTGAAAGCCCCAACCCTCTAATTATACCTTGGTCTATCTAGTGACCAGCCTCCCTTCTGAGGCTATCTAGGAAGCCCCAGCTACCAATCATCTCATTAACATACACAACATACTCTTATGACACTGAAGATTCCAAGAGTTTTAGGTTCTATAAGTCAGGAAACTGGACAAAGAAAAAATACATACAGTCATGTGTTCCTTAAGGATGGGGATACATTCCGAGAAATGTGTTGTTAGGTGATTCTTCATTGTGCAAACATCATAGAGTGTACTCACACAAACCTCAATGGTATAGCCTACTTCACAGCTAGGTTCTATGGTATGGACTATTGCTCCTAGGCTACAAACCTGTATAGCATGTTACTATACTAAATTCTACAGGCAACTTTAACACGATGATAAGTATTTGTGTATCTAAATATATCTCAACATAGAAAAGGTACAGTAAAAATATGCTGTAGAAGATACAAAAAATGGTACACTTGTCTAGGGCATTTACTATGAATGAAGCTTGCAGGACTGGAAGTTATTCTGAGTGAGTCAGTGAGGGAGTGGTGAGTGAATGTGAAGGCCTAGGACATTACTGTACACTACTGTGGACTTTATAAACACTGTCCACTTAGGCTACACTAAATGTATTTTTTAAAATTTTCTTTTTTAATATTAAACTTAGCTTTCTGAAACATTTTTACTTTATAAACTTTTAAGTTTTTAAAAAACTTTTTGTTTCTTTTGTTATAACACTTAGCTTAAAACACAAATACATTGTACAGCTGTACAGAAATTTTTCTTTATATTTGTATTCTATAAGCTTTTTTTAAATTTTTTAATTTTTAGAAAACTTTTTAACATTTTTTGTTAGAAACTAAGCCATAAACATACACACTATCCTAGGCCTACACAGGGTCAGGATCACCAATATCACTGTCTTCCACCTCCACACCTTGTCTCACTGGAAGGTCTTTTGGTATAATAGCATATATGGAGCTGTCATTTCCTATGATAACAGTGCCTTCTTCTGTAATACCTCCTGAAGGACCTGCTTGAGGCTGTTTTACATCTAACTTTTTAAAAACCATAAGTAGAAGGAGTATACTGTAAGATAACAATAAAAAGTATACTGTAGCAAATACATAAACCAGTAACATAGTCACTTATTATTAATTACTGTACATAATTGTATGCACTAGACTTTTATATGACTGGCAGCACAGATTTGTTTACACCAGTATCACTACAAATATGTGAGGAGTGTGTTGTGCTATCATTTTATGACAGCTATGATATCACTAGGCAACAGGAAATTTTTGCTTTATTACAGTCTTATGGGACCACCATTAAATATGCAGTTCATCACCAAAATGTCATTAGACAGAGGATGATTGTGTTTCACAGTATCACAACTACCTTTCCCCAGGTGACTTAGATAAGACTCAGAGATGAACCCCTTGTTTACCCAGGACAAGGTCATGTACAGAACCTCCAAATTTTCATTCTTTATCTCACAAATGATTAGCTAAAATATTTTTCCCTATTGACCAAACTGAGAACATGCCCATTAATTTGACTTGACCAAATTTTGATCAGGGTTCTCTCCTTCCCCCAGACCCTGAACTTTGGCCTACCCTTGAGCACTGGAACATGAAACAACCCCTGCTTAATTGACCTTCCTGAGAATCAGCTTACTTCAGGAAAACTCATTCCCTGATCAACTGTTGAATCAGGCCATGCATCGATCCCATGTCTCCACAACTGGTTCTTTCTAGTGTTATTTACTCCTCCTTAGAAAAGAAACACCCCTTTCTGCCAGACCTTTGGGATTCTTGCAGATCTCATAATCAGAGCATTCTTCCTATTGCAATAGTTCTCCCTCCTTATGCAATAGTCCTTCTCCCCTTATTGCAATAATCTTTAAATAAGGTCTTTTCTTACCTAAGTCTGGATTTTTATTTTTAATATACTTTCTCTAGAGCAGTTTTGGGTTCATGGCAAAATTGAATGGAAAGTACAGAGATTTCTAGTATAGTTCCTGTCCCCACACAGGTATAGAAGCTTCTCACATTATCCACATCCCCCACCAGAGTGGTACATTTATACCACTTGATGAACCCACATTTACACATCTTCACCCAAAGTCCATAGTTTATATTAGGGTTCACTGTTGGTGTTGTACATTCTATGTGTTTGAAAAAATGTATAGTGACCAAATAAGTCCATAGTTTTACCTTTTCCAGTATATAATATATTTGGAATCATACAGTATGTAGTTTTTTCCCATTTGCTTCTTTCATGAGTAATATGCATTTAAGTTTCATCCATATATTTTCATGGCTTGATAACTCATTTCTCTTTAGTGCTGAATAATATTCCATTGTCTGGGTGTAGTAGAGTTTATTCATCCATTCACTTACTGAAGGGCATCTTGGCTATTTCCAAGTTTTGACAATTATGAATAAAGCTGCTATAAACATCCATGTGCAGGTTTTTCTGTGAACATAAGTTTTCAATTCCTTTGGGTAAATACCAAGAAGCATAATTGCTGAATTGTATGATAAGAGTATGTTTAGTTTTGTAAGAAACCACCAAACTGTCTTCCAAAATGGTTATACCATTTTGCATTTCCACCATCACTGAGAGTTTCTGTTGCTCCACATCCTCGTCAGCATTTGATGTTGCCAGTGTTCTGGATTATGGACATTCTAATAGGTGTATAGTAGTAACTTATATTGTTTTAATTTGCATTTTCCTGATAACATATGATGTGGAGCATTTTTTCATATGCTTATTTACCACCTGTAAATCTTTGATGAGGTGCCTGTTAAGGTATTTGGCCATTTAAAAAATCAGATTGTTTGAGTTCTTTGTTGAGTTTTAAGAGTTATTTGTATATTTTGGACAACAGTCTTTTATCAGATATGTCTTTTGCAACTATTTAATTCCAGCCTGTGGCTTGTCTTTGCATTTTCTTGATGAATTTGTTTTTCACTTGATAGATTTTTTAGAAAAAAATTGTAAAAAACTTTGAAATGGCAAAACAAAAAAGATTGTCTTGCTAGTGCACTTTTCAGAATTATCTTTTTTTCATTGTCTTTGAGCTAATTTGCCATGTTGTAAGCTTTAGAATACCAATAATCATGGTTCTTCTCCTTAGAAATGCAAATAAACTGCATCCAAAATGTAATTGATTATTGCCCAAGGATAGATAGACCCGTGTGCTTCCACTTGTAAAATTCAATTTAGTATTCTTTATTGCCTAGATGTGTATGGTTCTTTGAATTATCTTTTGAACTGGTTATAACATCTTACTGGTTCTCTCATTAATTAATGCATTAAATAAAATCTTTGATACATATTTATTTTTGTATTCATTTGTATAAGCATCATGATTCTACCTTTTTTAAAAAAATTCTTTAACATATAGAGAAGTTGGTATACCTTGGGCTACAGAGGTAGTGGAGAATTGTCTCAGATACAGGACTCTTGGGCCACAAATCAAATGCTCTTGCTTGCCATGTTATACTTGGAAGCAAAAAGTTAAAATAGAGAAGCAGAAGCATGTTGCCTATTAGGACCAATGTGCGAATAGTTAAAGCCATTGTTTACTATGAGGAACTCCAATTGAAAATAAAAATGAATAAATAAGTTCATTTAGAAAAAGCTGAAAACCTACATTTCACCTAGAGTAGGTTCTGCCAAAAAGCCTCTACTAGCATTTGGGAATCAAAGCAATTAGCAGAGAAATTAGGCTGCTCTTCTGGGCTTAAGGACATTCCCAAAGCTAACTCTGATTATGGAATTCTTAATTAACATTCTGAGAGGGTGGTCACATGGGGCTCTGTGCCCAGGGTGCCTTAGCAGTTGCTTTGTTTGAACGAAGTCCCCTAGTGTTAACAGTTGGATATCTGCAGATTAAGCGCAGACAATACTTGGACAGACAATTGAAAAAGTAATTTTTTGATGCTTTCCCCAGCTGCTGCTGAAAGATTAGCTGGGATGTTATCCAGGTTCCTTCACTGTAGCTGATAAAACTTTCTGAGAGAAGCACATGAGTTTCTACATTATTGTTGATTTAGCTGAGGAAAGAAGTTAGAAACACATTTGCACTTCTTTTATGGGTCGTGAGTCAACTAATCTAGATTTTGCTTGCTAGACATTGCTCCTGTTGGGAGGAAACACATTACTATATACAGACAATCGGTTAAAAGGAAACTATACGGCTGGGCGCGGTGGCTCACGCCTGTAATCCCAGCACTCTGGGAAGCCGAGGTGGGTGGATCACGAGGTCAGGAGATCGAGACCATCCTGGCTAACATGATGAAACCCCGTCTCTACTAAAAATACAAAAGAAAAAAAAATTAGCCAGGCATAGTGGCGGGCGCCTGTAGTCCCAGCTACTTGGGAGGCTGAGGCAGGAGAATGGCGTGAACTTGGGAGGCGGAGCTTGCAGTGAGATCCTGCCATTGCATTCCAGCCTGGGCGACAGAGCAAGACTCCGTCTCAAAAAAAAAAAAAAAAAAAAAAGGAAACTATACAAAGTGGTTATTCTATTTGTCTTTCTGTCATCCATTCTACTTCATCCCATTTTTGTGGCCACTATGATTCATGTCTCCTGCACTGGATTGTGAACAGGCAAAGCTCCTTGGGGTTACCCGGTTTCCTTTGCCACAAAGGATGGAGATTTCTGACCTGGGCAGATTTTAGTGTGCAGATGATACTCCCTTTGGTTACAGTGGTTGTTTGGGGGTGGACTAATTAGAGTAAAGCTTAGAGTTTTTGTTCATTAATTATGGAAAACCCTATCTTCTTGTATGTTGGGTATGTTTGAAAAAGAACTGTAGCCCCACTTTCTGCTGGCAGTGCTCTTATGTCCATAAGAAAAGCCATCTTGAAGATCAAGTGGATCCAGAGAGGACTGCCTCAAAGAATCACAGAGAAAAGAAATTGGAGCTGTAATGAAATTGCTCTGAAGGCCCATTCAACCTCTAGATTTTTCAGTAACTTGAACCTGTAAATTCCTCTTACTGTCTGAATCAAGTTGATTTGGGTTTTCTGTCACTTGCAACGGAGGCAGGCTTCTTACCACCAAACGTTGGATTTTTCTGTAGTCCCAATTGCTTCCTACTCATTATATGGGGCTCTAGTAACTGTGCAGAGGGGATTTTAGAACATGACCCTGGCTTGAGTCTCATCCTTGGGGAATAGCTGGGATTATGTTCACTAATCCCCCCTGGGAGCTCTTAGAAACTATTCAATTTTAGGAGCTTTTCACCTTTTCCAGACCCAGCAGTTAGAGGTATAATTTTTGACAGACTTCTTGTTGCCTTCCAAGAAAATGAAACGTCTGAGGAGAAAATGAGATCAGCCCCAATCTGGAAAAGCTGGAGATCTCTGGACAGATAGTGTTTCATGGAACTTTCCCTGTGAAACACAATTCTACAGGTTGGTAGGAGATTATTCTCTTATTTGTGTGTCTTTAAGACTACAGGAGTCTTAAAGCCTACTGCACCGTAAACTCTCTAAAGAGCAGGAACCATGCTTGTTTCATTCCCTGTTGTGTCCCTGGTGCCTAACATAGTGTCTGGCCCCTAGGAAGCATTTGGTAATTATCTAATTATAATAAGCGTTCAATAATTAGAAGGACAAACAAATGAGGAAAAGTCCAATGCTACAGAGTGTTTGGTGGGTTTCTTTTTATACTATACCAGTAAGGGGTTTTCATTTCAGATCCGTGATTATAGTTATAGGTTGCAGGGTTTTTCTGTTTTTTTTTTTTTTTTTTTTTTTTTTTTGAGACAGAGTCTCACTCCGTCGCCCAGGCGGGAGTGCAGTGGTGCAGTGGCGCCATCTCAGCTTACTGCAAGCTCCGCCTCCCAGGTTCACGCCATTCTCCTGCCTCAGCCTCCCGAATAGCTGGGACTACAGGCGCCTGCCACCACGCCTGGATAATTTATATATATTTTTTAGTAGAGATGGGGTTTCACTGTGTTAGCCAAGATGGTCTCCATCTCCTGACCTCGTGGTCCGCCCGCCTTGGCCTCCCAAAGTGCTGGGATTACAGGCATGAGCCACCGCCTGGCCAGTTGCAGGGTTTTTCTAAATTAAATTTAGTGTAAATTTTATTTCCTCCCTGAATTTTTTGTTTAACCTATTCTTTCCTCTAAGTTAAAAAAACACCCATCATCTGAATTTCTCTAAGAAGAAAGTTGTTTCATTTGTAATGGTTGAACAAATGTTGGGTTGATGAAATCTCTCTGTGTCATGGGTAAAGAAATGAACAGTATACAGATACCCAAAGAACTATGTCACATTGTTTTTTTTTTTTTTTTTGAATCATGAAATAACTTGCAGAGTCATCCATGTTTTTGGGCAGTCTCTATGCTTTTGATATTACTGATTCAGTAGCAGAAAGCTGAGCATAGTAAATATAGAGGAAAGAAAAATGCCACTGCTAGCTCCTTTTTTCGTTATAAGATATTAATTGAAATATTAACTTTTTCCATAGGTAAAGGGACAGAAACCATTAATTCAATTCTGCTAACTTCCAGGGAAGACTAGATAAGAACCATTCAATTACAGGTTGCTTATTTATCTAATTCTCTTGGCAGGATTTGCTTTTGGTGAAACAAATCACCTGTTGAAGAAAAAAAAAGCCATTTAAGTGATTAAAATCTACTTCAACTAATTTCCTCTTTAACCTATTTGTAAGCCAGCAAGAGCTGATAATTGTAATGAATAGTTCTTCTGGGAAGCTTTAATTGACATTTGGATCTCATTAGACTTTGAAAAACTTCTGCCATCTTATTCTTTTAGAGCTCTTTTGCTGGGATTACAGTGTTCAAGATAGTCTTCAGTGCATGGAATTTAATGATGAGCTTTGAAGCTTCAGGGTTTGGAACTCAGCTCTGCCATTCCTAGCTGTGTGAACCAGGTCAATTCTTAATTTTGTTTTAAACTCAGTTTTTGCGGTTGTAAAATTATTGTTTTGATCGGTTGTTATAATGCGTGAATGAGCTAATATAAAGAGCTAAGTTTATGGCTATAAAGGATGTAACAGTGTCCAGCATATGGTGAGCATGCAATAACAGGTAGGATTCATTGTGAATAAGAAGCTCTAAAATGAAAAAGAAAGAGTACTAGAAAAATGAAGATCAATTCCTCTTTATAATTAACTTATCAATTGCTAGAAAATTTAGCATATAGTTAATAGATACCTGCTCTATTATCAATAAAACACTCTAAATAGAGATTTTCAAGTTCTGGTACCATACACTTCTGTGTTATATGTGTGATGCTTTCAGAATTCTTCTTTATAAAGGGCGTCTTATCTTGGGGGCACAGTGTACAAAACTTCTTGAACAAGAACACCTTAGTTTCAGTGAACAATTAAAATCAGTTAATGTGAATGTCAACTCATCTCTTCTTCTTGGTGTTTTTAAGTATATATCATTAAAGGTGAAGAAAGTGTAAAATGGAAAAAGAAGTGACTACAAGGCCTGGTGAATGTATACGGTGTAAAAAGATATTAGAGAAAAAGAGAAAGGAGATGGATAAAGATTAGTAGCTTTTTGATATGGAATGTTCATGGGGTAAAATTATATACATCATTTCTGTTTTATAAGCATATTATTAACCTCAATTTTTACCATTTTTTAGGCTGGAAAGTATAAATAATATTCTTTAGACAAATAACTTTTGATTTTCTGAGCAGAGGAAATTTGGAAGTTTGTGAAAACCTGATTTAGGACTGCACTAGAAATTTTAGTGTGTATGTACACTAGGGGAACAGTTTGGTTTACTATCTTGGAGGTATTTTATTCAGACTAACCTTAAAATTAATTTGCATTTTGAACACACATCAATTGTTTCTGCCATAAAGAAGATTATTTAAGGCCATTTTAGATAGATTTAAAAGTATGCAAATAATTCATACTATAAATAATCTATATGCAAAGAGAAATAATACCACTTTTATTTATTCAATATTTTGCTTTAAGTTTAGATTTAATCTCTTGTTTATAGTGAAAAGCTAAGGAATTATTCCCTAGTCTAGAAGTGATTTAGCCTAGAGATAAAAAATAGCTTCATGTTGCTGAAAGAACAGAATTTGGTACCTCTGCTCTCACTTTTAAAGTCTACCTTAATTTCCTAACAATGTGCTGATTACACATAATGGAAGTTTGTATTAGAAAATGAGGAAACATTTAATCAGACATAAAACTTAAAGCAATCAATGGAATAGTTGGTGCCTCAGAAATTGACCCTTTTGTATTTCTCTTTATTTATAACTTCCATTTTTATTGCTCACACTCACTTTTAGCTGTCATTTATTGATGACTAACTTTGTATTTATCAGTTTTCTTTACCCTAGCTCCCTCAGGATCAGTTGCTGAAATAGCCTCCTTAACACCATCTTACGCCTCTGAATGAGCAGGGGTAGAAAAAGAACAGGAGAAAGCAGAAAGCCTTTATTGTTCTTTGTTCAACTAGAATTAAAGTAGGCTTGAAGAAGCCTCGGAGAAGCCATTTACTCTTGTGATCTGAATTCCAGGGTCTCCAGTCTATTCAAGTAAATGCATTTCCATTTGGGAAAGAGTCCCTTGATACCATTCTCCTTCTAGGAGAGATAGTCATTTAACTCCTGCTGAATCCATATTGTCAAGGAACTTGCAGAGTGGAACTTATTTTGGTTCTTTTTGCTTGTGTTGAGAGTACTCTATTGGAAGGTATTATAAGGCGTGGGGAGAAAGAGAGTTAAAAAGAGAAAAAGATTAGTTGGTGTCTGCAGTTTTCATAAACAGGTGGGGCTATGAGCAGAAACTCTCTAAACTGCACATCTGGAAGTAGCATCTGGCATAGTGGAAACAACAAAGCTCCAGTGACTACGAAAGAGATAAAGTAGCAGAGCTTGTTAGGTGTCTTGTAGTTTTAATCCCAGACCTTAAGAACAGAATTACCAACAAGGAGTAATGAAATGTGTTCTAGCATCTTAGGAAACATGGTCAATAGGACTTTAGCCTGAGTGAAAAGCATGTAGACTGTGATAGAAGCAGGAATTGGAGATTGCCGTAAATTAGCTTGAAAGCAGTGGTTCTCTAAGTGATTCCCAGACTGTCATCATCAGCATTACCTAGGAAATTATAAGATATGCAAATTCTTGGTCTCCAGCTCAAAGCTATGAAATCAGAAACTCTGAGAGCAGGGCCCAGGAGTATGTGTTTTAACAAGTTCTCCAGGTGATTCTGATGCATGCTAAAATTTGAGAACCACTATTTTAGGGCATTAGAGCCACTTTTCCTTACTAAGCTACCTTATTGAGGAGCTACCTTCATCTGTCTGTTCCTACAACTGATTGTTCCAGGTCTGTGAATTAATAAATGTGTGGATAGCAGATTCAAAATATGATGGAAAAACTTGGCAAAGCTTTGCTGTTACATTTCATTATTCCAAGACATGAAGTGACCCCTTTCTTGGGTGCTCCTCTTTCTTTTAAAGCCTTATCTACCTCAGTCCCCTGACTCTTGGAAGATGCCATCACTTGTTATATTATGGTGGAACTGCAATGTCCCAAACGGTAGCCACTAGTCACATATGGCTATTAAGATTAAAAATAAAATAAAAAATTTAGTTCTTTGGCCATACTAGCCACATTTCAACTACTCAGTGGTCACATGTGTATAGTGGCTACTGTGTTGGACAGTACAAATATAAGATACTTCTACCATTGCAGAAAGTTCCTTTATTTTTATTTATTTTTGTAGAGACAGAATCTTGCTATGTTGCTCAGACTGGTCTCAAACTCCTGGCCTCAAGCAGTTCCTCCCACCTTTGCCTCCCAAAGTGCTGGGATTATAGGCCTGAGCCACCATGCCCAGCCCCATTGCAGAAAGTTTTACTGGACAGAACTGCTGTAGAATTCCTCTCCTATCACTGATACTAAACTTGTAATCCTATCTGATAATTTTTAGTGTTTCCCAATTTCTTTGGAGTAAATACTCCTATCATGGCCAATTTCATGCTACTAACCTGATGCCACTGAATGTGGAGTTGGGAGGAGATGTACACAATCAACTCTTGAGAGCCAGTATTAAGTGGTTCCAGGTCACCACTGGTTTTGTGAGAGGAATTCTTCCTTGATGGCAGAAAGTGCTGGTTCTGTTCTTTACATTCAAATATCACTTTACAATAAGATTGGCTTTCCAAAAACAACATTAACAGCCTACTAAAAGTGGCCAATAAGTCAATCACCTTAATTATATTTTGGGTGTAAAGTAGGAATATACAATCTACAACTTAAAAAGCCTTTTCTGTGGCAGTTGGAAAACTGCTCAAGTGAATTGGGGCTAGTGTCCTACAGTGCCTGTGCACATGAAACTAAACCATACAAGGTGTTAAGATATACATGTTCTAGTCTGAATTCTATATTGAGTCAATGGTGGTGCTCTAGTGATTAGTTCTATTAGTGGAGGTGTTTATAGTCTATATGGGTTGTGCAGAGTAGGCTGATAAGAGTGACCTGTTCCCAGTTGAAAATGGAAGAGTTGGCTTTTATCTATGAAGTCATGAATGACTTGCAAATATACTATCAAAGATAAGCATGTACTTAACTTTAAAAATATTTGCCATTTGAAAGTGCTTTGAAATTCTTTTTGAAAGATGGAAAATTTTATTTTAATTGCAAGCTAAACAAAACTCAATTGATATGCAGCCAGGGCTAGTTTTTTTAGAATCACAATTAGACTTGGCAGACTTTTTTTCTTTTTTCACCAGCGCATTATCTATTTTTTTTGTTTTGCTTTTTTTTGGGTGATGATGGGGGTTTATGGTCATGAATAAAGATCCTACATCATTAAGCTAACAACTCATCTGTTAGATAAAAATAGATTTTAGTCCATAGATTTTACTCCCCAAATACTTGGAAATGAGAAAACTAAATAATTCTTATCCTATTTCCTTTCCTGAAAAGGAAAACCCCTAACTCTGAATGCCTCTGTTACTAAAACTGTTTCTTAATTGTGACAATCATAACTGGATGAGAGTTATCAGTTAAACTGATGACTTAGTTGAACCCATTTGTTTCTGCAGAAAGATTATCCACATTTGTGTCAAACCAGGTCATTTTCAGGCCCTTGGGAGTCTGCCATTCGAATGCTTGTCCAGCTGAAGCTGGATGTCCTTGAATGACAGCTGCTAAAAATTCAATCAGTAACTGGTATCCAAATGTCAGGGGGAGCACTGCAAAGTGGGGACAGGCTGAGACAGTCTGTAGGGTTTGATTTTGGGTAGTCAGAGTTTAAATTTGACTTAGAAAAAAAGTAAATCAGCATCTTTAATCCCCAAACATTACGCATCATCTAGTCAGTAGACTTCGTAAAGGTCAAGCAATCAATATGGTTGGCATCAGCAGAGATAGGTTACAGGAGTTGATTTTTATTTCTCGAAATTGTTTTTTATATTCCAACATACAAAAAGGTAGGCAGACTGTCAGGTAGAGTAAAAGAATTTGTACTAATAGTGAGATGAGCTGGTCCTTGGTCAAGGGGCTACATTAATAGATGCAGTGGACTTGGAAAGAAATGGGGTTTCTCAAATTGCATTTATATTTGTCTTTGTTAAGGGTTTAATATTTTGAATGCACACCTATCCTTTGGGGGAAAATTGGGCTGCCTGGTATATCATCAATCCAGGAAGATGGAAATGCCAGAAGCATATGTTTCATCATGTTGTTGCTTCTAGTCTTGACTTAGACTAGGAAAAGAAAAAAAGAAGAAAGAAACAAGATTAATTTTTTGCCCTTGCTGTTTGCAAAATCTCTTGGAATATAGTAAAGAAAATATAATTATTGAAAATATTAGGTTCTTCCATGAAGTTACATTTATTTATTTACAAACTGAGGGAAGAGGGGCCTTATAATATTTTCAATTTGTGTATTATTTCTAGAAAAGTAACTGAACAGTTATGGAATGAAAAAATTATTTAAAAATCTGAGAAGGAAGGAAATAATGACAGGTGGTTAGAACCTTGTCATTGGAGAACTATATAGTCATGATATAGGCCAAGGTTTCAGCATGGGCATTTCCAAGCCAAAAAAAAAGTGTTTGTTAGTTCCTTCTTACAATTAAAAAAATGTCCACATAGTATGTGTGTTTTAATTTTCACCTAGAAAGATGCCTATTGCAATTGAACAAAAAATTAACCTATAGTGGCCTAATATTTAATCTTATTTTATTGATCAAGAAATTAACCTAGAGTACCCTAAGTTTTAATCTTATTTCAGCACACATTACTAGAAAAGTTCTTAAAAATATAGATGAGAACTGTATATATTTCTTGACCAAAAATTGTGATATAGTAGGAGAAAATATTAGGGAAAATTTCCTGCTTTTTCTTAAACTCTAGACTGCTCTTGAATGAATTTTGTACAAGAGAGCAATGAGAAACTGATAGCACTAGATGGAAATTTATGTCTTATCCAAAGGCTCTGGTATAACATCTTCAGTTAGCTGGGGGGCTCCAGGTCTCACAGAAACAAAAGTCCTTAAGGTTTAAGAATTTCTTCTTTCTTAAATATTTCCAGGACAACCTAGAGACCACTGTTAGTAGATCATCCATTGAGAAGGGTATATGTGAAATGTGAGAAAGTGGAGAGTTACCCATTGGATTTCAATGATTTTCTGGGCCTGTAGTAAATTACAGTTGTGGCCTCAGTTCTTTACCCATCACTGTATGCACATGTTTTGCTCTGTGGCTGCATTTTCTCTCAATGAAAAGATAGAGTCTCTTTCCCTTGAATTTGGGCTTACTTGTGAATTGCTTTGCCCAACAGAATGCAGCAGAAATGACAGCATGACATTTCTGAGCCTAGGTCTAAGAAGGCATTGCATGTTTCTGTCGTCTGGCTGAGAACACTGCTATGAGAACGTTACTGGCCTAGCTTCTGCATGATGAAAGACACAGTCTCATCAGCCCCAGAGTAGTATCAGCGGAGCCATGTAGTTGACAACTCCAGACATGTAAGCAATAAATGCTTAATGTCGAATGCTGCTGATGTTTCGTGGTTGGTTGTTATGCAGTGTTATTGTGACAATAATGCCACAATATAGCTTAGGGGATTAGTTTCCAGATGGATTATACATATAAAGTTCTGATAATTTTTCATGGAAATCTTGATACTTCATTAAAATAAATAAGAAGTCGTTGCTTAGCTCAATCACCTACCATGGGACATTTATCTACTGATTTGATTTGATCTGGGGGCAAAGGTTTCAGCCTTCAGCCTGGTAGTAGCCATATGCAAATGTATTTGTGTCTCTCCCAACCTGACAGATAAACAGACAGGCATCTAGAAGTTATCAAGTAAATACTTAGATGGGATTCTTGTGTTCAGTGTGAGTGTTCTCAAAATTTCAGTAAAGAGTTCTTTCCCCTGGGACATTAGATGTGGCTTAATAATGGCCACTAGTATATTTGTATTTGCAATCAGGCACAATGAACAGAATTGCTCCCAGGTTATCATTTGGGAATTTAAACACACTCTTTTTCTTTTGCCAGGTCCATTTCTGGCATGTATGGAATGAATCAGTGTGCCATCCTTTTAAGGCCCATTCATTGTCTTCTGGTTTTATTTTACGTCCATTTCTTCCTCTTACTAGAGAAAACAATTGAATTTTGTGGAAGCCCCAGGGGTTTGTGAATTTCAGAGGGACAGGGTTTTACCTGGAAAGAGAAAGGATTTTTGATTGAAAATAGAGGCTACTTATGACTCATTCAAAGGAGTTTTTCCTCTCCTTCATCTTATTTGCCTAGTGATTTTGTCTTATATGACACTTTGGAGCCTACTGTGAGATGACTGCTTCACACTGGATCTTTTTCAAATATTTTTCAAGGACAAACATCCTTCCTACAGGTTTTCTCATCTGTAATGATTGTCTTGTCTGGGGATTGTATTCTGATTAATTCAACGTTAGCTTTCTCACTGCTTCAGTGGATTCCAAATTTGTCATAGTTAAAAAAAAATTCTCCTGGGAAGTTTTATAAAAGAAGTTGGTGAAGAGAGGGCTTAGGATTTATTCTGCTGACCAATCTTTAGAATGTGGTAGGGGACTGAGGCACACAAAAAAGAAAAATGGAAGGAATGCCCAATTCTTATGCATTCTCATAGGTCAGGCATAACTCAGGAGTTTTGCAGAAATTTCAGTGATTGTTGCTCACATGGAGGTTTTACCCTGCAGTCACCATCCAATTGAGCAAAAAGCAGTTAAAAGGATGCAATAAGGGATTCAGCCAGCAGAGGGCGGGAGAGCCACACCCAGTTGCTTGGACCAGTTACACACCTCCAAGCCAACTCGTTCTGAAGACACAAGCCTTTTTTTTGGTAAGCGTTTTGCTTTCACTAAGTCCCTTCTGACAGAATGGGCAAGAGTCAATCTGCCCGGAATTGAATACTGGCTGCACCATGCGCTAGCTTCATCATCTTTTTGTGCCTGATTATTTCTCATTGGAAAAATGGGAAAAGCATAGTCATGGTGAGGATGTCATAAGGGTGTTGCGAAGATGATGAAGTTAACTTATGTAACACATTCCAAACAGTGCTTGGTAACTACTTGATAAATATTATTTAATAGTATTATAGGCTATCCCTTTGCCTTCTGTCTTCCATCCTCCCAAGTCTGAATGCAAAAATAAATTAATATGGCAATAGGTTATGTGGGCTGATTCCTCTTCACTCTTTGAAACTCATCTCAAAAAGCGCAACATACCTTCGTGATATTTCTGCCAAAAATGCTTATGCCAAATCTAACCGCGAGAAACAGTTTAGAGTAGTTCCAAACCAGAGACATTCTACTAAATTCAGGGACATTTTTTTTTTTTTTTTTTTTTTGAGAGACAGAGTTTTGCTCTTGTTGCCCAGGCTGGAGTGCAATGGCACAATCTCGGCTCACCACAACCTCCACCTCCTGGGTTCAAGTGATTCTCCTGCCTCAGCCTCCCGAGTAGCTGGGATTACAGGTGTGTGCCACCACGCCCGGCTTATTTTGTATTTTTAGTAGAGACGGGGTTTCTCCATGTTGGTCAGGCTGGTCTCGAACTCCCGACCTTAGGTCGTCCGCTCGTCTCGGCCTCCCAAAGTGCTGGGATTACAGGCGTGAGCCACTGTGCCCAGCGTAAATTCAGGGACATTCTACTAAATAACTAGACTCTGCACTTTAAAAATTACAAGGTCATGAAAGACAAAGAAAGAATCTGAAACTGTTCCAGATTGTAGGATACTAAAGACACATGAAAGCTGAATGCAGCATATGAGCTGGGGATTTCTTCTGCTGTAGAGTACACATTGGGACAATTGGTGAAATTTGAATAAGGTCTGTAGATAAGATCGTAGTATTGTATCAGTATTGATTACCTGATTTTGTTACTTGTAGGCTACAGAAGAGAATGTCCTTGCTTTTAGGAAATATACACCAGAATCTTCAAGAGTAAATGGGGCATCATAATTTCTGTAAGTTACTCTCAATTTTTTTTTTTTTTTTTTTTTTTTTTTTTTTTAGACAGAGTCTCTGTTGCCCAGGCTGGAGTGCAGTGGTACGATCTTGGCTCACTGTAGCCTCCACACCCTGGGTTCAAGGGATTCTCCTGTCTCAGCCACCCAAGTAGCTGGGATTACAGGCGTGCACCGCCATTCCCAGCTAATTTTTGTATTTTTGATAGAAACGGGGTTTCACCATTTGACTAGGCTGGCTGGAACTCCTAGTCAGGACTTCAAGTGATCCACCCACCTCAGCCTCCCAAAGTGCTGGGATTACAGGCATGAGCCACCGCGCCCAGCCCCAAATTTTTTTTGAAAAAAGAAATGTATATTTGTGTGTGTGTGTTTGTGCGTGTATGTGCATATCTGTATGTAAGCATATTTGATATAATAGCATTTAGTACATCTGGTTAAAGGGCATATGAGAATTCTTTGTAGTGTTCTTGCAACTTTTGTTAGCCTGAAATTACATCAAAATACAAAGGTAAAAAATAAAACCATAAATAAAAAATACAATCCCAGCTCTCAGGATGCCTCCTTCTTTAATAGTTTTCCCTGATGTCCCCTGCCTTACCCTTTGCCTTAGGTGGGTTAGGAGCCCTGGCCCTGTGTGCCCTCAGTCTGTAGCTTCTCTCTCTGTCACAGCACTGTATTACACTGTATTGTGACCACCTGATTATGTCATTAAACTATGAGCTGGGACAAAGAAGGCAGGGGTGCTATCTCATTCAACTTTGTATCACCTGAGCTTAACTAACACCTGGCACAGAGAAGAAACATATTAAGGATTTGCTGAGAGAATAAGATAGTATAACTTGGTCTTATATCTAAGGTTTGATTTTCTAGGAACCTATAGTGAATTTTAGGCTTGCTTTTCAGTTTTTGTAGCAGGGATGTAGCACAGGTTTGGGACTCAGCACACCTAGTCTGAAAGCTGATTTCTGTCACAGCATGCATGAGGGACAGTCTCTTCAGTTTATTTATACCTTAGTGCTGTGATTCTCGAGCTTATAGACACTGTGAGGACAGAATTTTAGCTCTTTAAACAAAGGGGGGCAAATATACAGTGACCTCTATCTATGTAGGTATTTAACTGAAAGGAATTCCAGGGCCAAGTGTGTCTACTATTAAAAGAAACGTACTTTTCTTACAATGTAGTCCCTGAATGCAAATCATGGTTTTATCTGGTGGGCAACTGAAGAAACAGCAATCTGAACTGATATGGGAGGCAGACCTCACTGTAACAGGATTAGTGAGAAACAGTGTTTGTGGCTCTTAATTGCTCATTTTTTTTTTTTTAATGGGGGATGTTAGGGATTTTCTAAGGGCAGGTTTATCCATATGCAGAGTTGATGTTAGGATGTAATACCACAAAGATGTAATTAACTCCTCTGTTTGTGGTCTCCATGTTAATTCACTCTCATAAGAGGGTATGCAGTGTGGTCACTATTCTACCACCATTTTTAAGAAAAAATTTAAAACTATTTTTTATCTTCCAAATTAAATATTTTGCTATTTGATAAGTTAACAATGCAACAGAAAATCAATATAACTTTTATCTTTACCAGAAGCCATAAAAGTCTATCTAGGAAAATTTCAGATGTGTGAACATGGCTTTAGAGAAGGAACTCAACTACAGACTATAAGAAATGTAAAACCAAGCCAGGTTCCTGTTGTGGTCCTTTATTATGACCTGGTGACCTAAGCTAGAGAATCACAGCACTAAGGTATAAGTAAACCAAATAGCATGCATTGGCTTTAGTTCAGAAGGGGATTTTTGTGCAGAAAATAAATTGAAAGTAGGGCCTCTGGCCAGCATAAACAGATAAGAAAAAAGTATGATTCCCTACGTCTCAAAAATGACTCCTTCACACATCCCACCAATCAAAGATCCATTTGGAATAACAGGTCTTCTAAAAGCTGCCATAGAAGTTAAGCCTCCTACCACCTATACTTCTGTGTGAATTGATTTAGTCTGGAGGCATTTTGATTGCTTTTCTCCTAACACCTAACTTAGAAGGTGAAATAGAGGTCTTGTTTGGAGGGAATTGAAGAAGGAAAAGGAAAGGGCAATTTCAGATCAAGGGATATGTTGGAATGGTGGAAAAGTAGGATCATTAGGACAGCTGGGAACAGTCTTTTAGTTCTTGGAAGCCAGGAAAAAGATGTAGAGAGAAGGGCAGAAGTGGTCAAGGCTCCATGAAAAGGAGGATGTAGCAGTCAAATTGGATGTCGACCATGCAACAATGACGTCAGGAACCCTGCTTGGTATACCATCTGTACCTGTCTGTACAGGTCAGTTCTGTAACTGTCTGCCTCGAAGAATTGCCTGGCTTGTTTCTCTCAAAGAATGGACTCTAGCTTATCTATAATAGAATATACCTATGTTGGTGGTCAATAAACACTAATTTAATTAAACCTGTAATGCTTTTGAGACTTTTGCCATATCTTCTGTTATTTGGGACCTCACCACCTGGAACTTGATTTTGCAACAAAATTCAAAAAATACTTGGCCAAAACTAACTTCCCCTGAACTTGACAAATAAAATGAACAATTCAAGAACAGCCAACTGAGTAATTCTGGTATATAAACTGTCACTATTAAATGGCTTATTTATCGAAATAGCATTCAATCTTACATGGGCATTCAAGAATTTTAGGAGAGACAATGGATATTTCTCCAAACCCTAAAAATCCCATAAAGCAGGGGCAGCAGGACAGAAAGCTTTTATTCTTGTCAAAATCAATCTTGACTTTGGTACATCACAATGGCTGCATGACAATGTCACATTCTTGTCCACTTAGGTAAATGTGTTTGGCTCACTTGGCCATCATTCTGGAATTAAGAGCCTTTGCAGTATAAAACCAAGATTTGAATAACAGTAAAGGTCAGAGCTCAAAATTAGAAAGAAAAAAGACAAGAAATGGCTGATAGGAGGTTGGCACAGACATGAAACCTGATCATGCTGAAAGCACTTGGGGAGGGAGAGAAAAGGGAAACTTTGAATGAGTAATAGAGAATAGCATGGTGTATATACCATATTTGTAGATTTCTTAGTTATCTGTTGTATGGTTCCTTCTGACACCACTATAAATAACTTCCTGAGACTGGGTAATTTATAAAGAAAAGAGGTTTAATTGACTCACCATTCTTCATGGTTGGGGAGGCCTCAGGAAACTTACAATCATGGCAGAAAGGGAAGCAGGCATGTCTTACATGGCACGTGGAGAGAGAGAGTGAGTGTGAAGGAGGAACTGTCAAACACTTATAAAACCATCAGATCTTGTGAGAACTCACTATCATGAGAACAGCATGGAGGAAACTGCCCCCATGATCCAATCACCTCCCACCAGCTCCCTCCCTTGACACGTGGGGATTATGGGGATTACAATTTGAGATGAGATTTCGGTGGGAACACAGAGCCAACCAAACCATATAATCTGTCCTCTGCTCCTAGATTTTTCCCTTAAAAATGCTCAGGATAACTTATTAGAAGAAATGCCCTTTTAGGGAAAAATAAAAGTTTAAATCAGGCTGGTACATTCATTTATGGATCAGTCCAATTCACCTTATTCAGGTCTGCATCTTCTCTCCTTTGAATAGCTATGATCATCCTGTAACTGCTGATGCTGCCTCATTGCTCTGCTCCATTGCCTCACCCCAAGCTTTCAAAGTCATCTCCTACTCTACTCCAGGGTAATTTTTCTAAAATGCAAATACTGTTGTTTGGCAGCTCTACTTAAAAGCTTTTAGTGACTTTCTATTTTCTGTGGAGTAAGTCTCAAAGTACACAGCATTAGAACCTTTATATTCTACCCCTCCTACCTTATGTCTTACGATTTCCCATTGTTAATTTTAGCTTCACACAGTTTTACTAATTTATATCTCCAAATCTTTTTTTTTTTTTTTTGAAACAGAGTTTCACTCTTGTTGCCCAGGCTGGAGTACAATGGCATGATCTCGGCTCACTGAAACCTCTGCCTCCTGGGTTCATTCAAGCGATTCTCCTGCCTCAGCCTCCTGAGTAGCTGGGATTACAGGCATGCACCACCACGCCCGGCTAATTTTGTATTTTTAGTGGAGATGGGGTTTCTCTATGTTGGTGAGGCTAGTCTCGAACTCCTGACCTCAGGTGATCCACCTGCCTTGGCCTCCCAAAGTGCTGGGATTACAGGCATGGGCTACTGCGCCTGGCCTGTATCTCCAATTCTTTACATATGCCTGACGAACTGCTATTCCATCTTGTAGGGCTAAAATCAAATTTTTTTTCATTTTTGGGAAGCCTCCTCTACATACCTCCACCTTCTAACTCCAAGAAGTCAAAGTGAGTATATCATTGATGTTGCCACTTAATCTAGTATATATGTGTGTATTTGTGTGTGTGTGTATATATATATATGCACACACACACAGAGAAATATATTTCTATATATATTTCTAATATATAGTAGTTAGAAATACATATTTAATAAATATACAGTAGTTAGACATATATATATGTTAGTCATAATCTAACAGGAGATAAGTATATAAGCAGCTGCAATTAGGTTATTTTTCAAAATGTAGTTAGAAATATATATATGTCTACTATATATTATACATATTAAATATATATTTCTAACTACATTTTGAAAAATAACCTAATTGCAGCTGCTTATATACTTATCTCCTGTTAGATTATGACTTTCTTCAAAGTTGACACCTAATTTATTTTCATAGATCCAGGACATGGCATATAATAGGTGCTTGTTAATTGCTTTTTGGATGAATGAATGAATGAATGAACGAATGAAGGTTTCATGCCTAAATCTCTGGATTTAGTTAGTAGCTCAATGAGTAAAACTAAGGACTGTTTACTAGATATCAGCCTTTGCTTAGTTCTGAGCTATGGTAGTTGGAAAGTGAAGGAAATATTGGTTGGAAAGGAGAGTTTGGGTCAATGCAGACCTGAATCCATTTTTGAGAGAGATTAAATTTAGAAAACAAGCTGAATGGCAGAATGGTAGTTATTACTGAATAGGGGAGATATTCATGTTAGTATCAAAAAACATTGTTCAGTTAAGTAATATGAACGGGAAATTACTCTATTAGAGGAGGTCATGCTCTTGTTTTTGGGTAAGAATTAAATGTATTGAAATAGCAGGATTAGAGGAATATGAATTGGTCAGCAAGAAAACAAATGTTATGGTCAACAAGGTGCTTGAAGCTGCAGATATGGTGAAGAGCAAGGGACTCTGTGGCTGTGACATTCTGTTAACTATACTGAGAGGGAAAGGGAGACAGGGTGGGATCTGGGAAGAGTTTGTGCAGGCAACCAAGACTGCGATCACATTTTTTACTACACCAGGACTCCCCGTTCCCTAGTGTGGGGAAACCTTCCCACTCCATGCAGCAATGCCTGAGTGATGATGAGCAATAAAGGTTCATGAATTTTCTATTTATTGGTGCTATAGCAGCTGCTACAGTTAGAGGCTCACAGCTTGATACCTCAGCTGTACACAAGTTTCTGACCTAGTGTGTTGCTCTTTTGAAAAAATATTTTATAATGAAAATTCTCAGATATACAAAATAGATTTTGCTCATGTACCCATGACCTAGCTTTAACAAATATAAACATTTTGTGATCTTTTTTTCTGGCATTTTTAAAAGCAAATTTTAGACTCATTTTATGCTGTACATCAATATATCAGTATGGATCTCTAACTGATAAGGATATTAAAAATAATATAACCACCAAGATATTACCACATCTAGGGTTGCTCTTAATATGCTCAAGGACCCTGCTTCTCCCACCTGTCTTCCCTCTATCAGGCCGTATGTACTATTATTGGTTATGCCTATGTCATTGCCTTTCTGAGAGAAGAGTCTGCCACTACACCCATTTTTCTTGTGTTTGTAGACTCATCTTCCATTTGCAAAATATAATATATGAGGAATGAAGTTTTCTGGCTATTACCTTTGTCTAGCCTATACCTGATATCTGAATCAGCAGAAAGATGTATTCAATTTGTAACCTAATCAGGCTATTTCAAGCCATACCCCTCCCTGCCATGTAAAAAGGGTGCTCCTGACCTTTTTCTTTGAGCCAGGATCTTGCTCTGTCACACAGGCTGCAGTGCAGTGGTACGATCATAGCTCACAGCAGCTTCAAACTCTTGGGCTCAAGGGACCCTCCCTTCTCAGCCTCCTCAGTAGTTAGGACTACAGGCACATGTTACCGCGCTTGGCTAACTTTTTTTTTTCTTTTTATAAAGATGAAGTCTCACCATATTGATCAGACTGGTCTTGAAGTCCTGGCTTCAAATGATCTTCCCTCCTCAGCCTCCCAAACTGCTGGGATTATAGATGTGAGCCACTGCACCTGGCCAAAAGGGTTCATTAAAAAAAAAAAATCTTAACTTTTTTTAGAGTTTTCAGAGACTTTCAAGCAGAGTAAATATGCCAAGTGTTTATAGTTGTGGAATTGCCTGTTCTGCCTGTCAGTTTTGGGGAGAATAAAGGAAGTTCATTCTCCTAGTGGCTTTCTGATGCAACCCAAGATGCTGGTGACCATTTTGATTGTTCTCTTTGCCCCTCTTTGCTACCAGAGAAGGTCAAATCCACTTATATGGGGTAGGATAAATCAACAGAGTGGATACAAAGAATTCTGGCCATCATGTGGCCAGGATGGCCAGATCTACTTGGCAAGCTAAAGCATGTATGTAAAGATTTAACTGTCCATAAGGCATTGAAGTTAAGTGTCCAAAGTTAAGGGTGTTCATGCTGTAGGCATTAAGAAGAGTGGAAGGCACTTCTAACTGGAAATAGTCCTAGGTTCTTGAAAGGAAGTGAAATTTCACCAGAACTTTGACTGCTGGTCACAACTCATAGATAATAAGGGGTTTGGGAGTGCGATGGGAAGAAAAACAGAGCAAGCAAAGCATAGAGAGGTGAAAGCACAAGGCAGGTGTAGGGAAGCACGGATAACATAGTGTAGCAGTCATTTGCGATGACTTGCATGGCATATCACCCCCTTCCCACCTAATTTAAGGTCAGGTGACTTAGACAATTCCATGCACATTGACAGTGTCCCAACTCAAGTGTTGACTATGATATTGCTCTGATTTTTGGCCTCAGGGCTTCCTCTGATGCCTACAAAGGCTGCTTAGCACCACAAAGACTGTCCATAAGAATGGCAGAGTCCATGTTTGTGGTGACAGCCTTCAACTAACGGAGGTGGAAGACAGTGGAAAATGTCCCAGAGTTGTCACAGGGACAATTCTGACATGCATTTTACATGGCTTCTCAGAGAGACCCACTGGGACTGAGTCTCATTGCCCACAGTTGTTACTAGCTCCACCATGCATCCTTGCATTGGCTGACCCTCTTCCCCTGTTCCACTTCTGTGACCCACGCTTCTGCTTGCTGAGAATTGTGAGAACCCAAACTAAGACATCGATTTTGGTAGAAATGAGAAAATATGCCAGGGAAACAGTGAAAAACAAATCCAGAATGACAGGTTTATAAAAAGACTTTCTTACTAATTAAAAAAAAAAGTCTATTTCCCTATTTGCTTTCTGCTTGCTTTTTTCTTGCTGTTATTTAGAAAAGTGAAAACGAAAACAATACTTTTAGATTACAATTCACATGGAACTAGGCTTGTCCTATAGTTTACAGTCCTTATGGATTCTGAGTTTAAGGATTCTGTCCCATTATCTTTCCTTATTGCAGTAAATGACAATCTATTCTTCCTGTTATTCAGGACAAAAATATTGGGGGGTAATCTCTGATTATTTTCTTATTCTTGCAACCCACTTCTGATCTGTCAGAAAATCCTGTTGGATCCACCTTCACAATACATGCAGAAGCTGGATGGCCATTTCTCAGTATCTTCACTACTACAGCTCCGGTTAGGCCACAGTTGTCTTTCACTGGGACTGTTGCAAGAGCAATCTGTTTAGTTTCACTGCTCCTGCCCTTAGGTCCCTACCATCTATTCCCAACAAAACGGGCAAAGTGATTCTCTTAAAATATAAGTCACACCACACCTTTCCAATACCCTGCACCCTCCTTTGATTCAGCTTTGAGTAAAAGCCAACGTTCTTACAATGACTGAGTAAATGCTGAAGTTTTGGCTTGGTCTTTCATCTCTTTCCTTCCTTGACCCTTTTTATTACTGCTTATCCCCTTGATTATTCCACTGCAGCCCGTGGGTCTCATGACTAAACTCCAACAGGCCAGCGTCCTCCCCACCCAGGCCAGCATTCTCCCAACTCGGGTCAGTGTTCTCCCAACTCTTTGCACTTATGTAATCTCACACTGGAGGGCTCCTCTCATCTCCCATAACCACATAGCTCACTCCCTCACCTCCTGGGCTGTTTGCTTACCTGTCATATTTTTAAGACAGTCCTTCCTTGGCTTACCTATCTGAAATTGAAGCACCTACGTGAACATATCCTTTCCTTTTCCCCTGCTTTATTCTTCCCTTTAGTATGTTTTACTATCTAATAAGCATGTATTTTATTCATGTACATTTTTTTCTTCCTTCCAGGAGGCAATCTCCATGAGGGCAGGTGTGTTTTCTTTTGGTGGGATCGGGAGAGGGGAGGTGTCTCTATTGTTCATTGTTCTCTTTCCTGTCCAGAATAGCATGTATACACCATGACGGCTAATTTTAGGTGTCAATTTGATTGGGGTAAGGGACGTCCAGATAGCTGGTAAAACACAATTTCTGTCTGTGTTTGTGACAGTGTATCTGGAAGAGATCAGCATTTGAATTGGGAGTCTGTGTAAAGAAAATCACCCTTACCAATGTGGATGGGTATTATCCAGTCTGTTGAGGCCATGAATAGAACAAAAGGGCAGAGGAAGGGCAAATTTGCTTCTGTTTAGTTGGGACACTCATCCTTTCTTGCCCTTGGACATTGGTGCACCTGGTTCTTGGGCCTTTTGACTCAGACTGAATCACACCACTGGCTTTCCTTGTTTTCCAGCTTGCAGACAACAGATCATGGAACTTCTTGGCCTCCATAATCTCATGAGCCAATTTCTGTAAGTCTCTCTGTCTCTCTGGAGAACCTTGGCTAATATACACACACACCATGATTGATAGTGGATGCCCAATAAATGCATTCCAAAATATATGGATGCCCAATAAATATGTGTAAGTATGAATACTCAATAAATAAACAAAAATGAAAGAACGGATATGTGACCTTACTTAGCTTCTCTGGGACTCTATTTAATCTCTCTGAAGCTCTGTATTTTTCAGCTGAAGATGGGGATCCAATACCTAACTCACAGGAGCAAATCAAATAATGTATTTAAAGACCTTAGGAGGGAAAAAAACCTCTCTCCTAAGGTCTTTGGATAAATGGCTGAACTACTACTTGTCAGAAGTTATGTTCTGATTTTTAGTTCAGAAACCGAAGTCCTGAGATTTCTATCTTAAACCATGGAAGGATACTTTTAGAAGCTTTATAATTGAAGTCTAAGATCATAAAAATAACTTATTTTCAATTTATTTTTCTAAGAAAAGCATGTGGGGCTCCCTTGGCATCTTTGACTTGTAGAAAGTGTAATATGGAGTTTCCAGACTAGAACACAAGCTCCATACAAAGAGGTACCTAATTATCTTGTAAGTTCCTAGTGACTGCACCTGTTGTATAATAGGTTCTCAATAAATATATGTTGAATGAATAAACAAAGAAAATGTAAAGTTTTTCCTCCATTTAAGGTGTCCCAATAGTGAAGCTGAGACCTAGCAAGATCTATGAACTGTTTCTTTCCTCTAATTTCAATTTTTAAACATTTTTGTGGGTATATAGTAGGTGGATGTATTTATGGAGTACATGAGATATTTTGATACAGGCATTCAATGTGAAATAAGTACATCATGGAGAATAGGGTATTCACCCCATCAAGCATTTATCCTTTGAGTTACAAAAAGTCCAATTACACTCTTTAAGTAATTTTGAAATGTACAGTTAAGTTATTATTGACTATAGTCACCTTATTGTGCTATCAAATAGTAGGTCTTATTCATCCTTTCTATTTTGTTTGTACCCACTAACTATCTCCACCACCCCACCAGCCCCCAACTACCCTTCCCAGCCTCTGGTAACTATCCTCTACTCTCTTTGTCCATGAGTTCAATTGTTTTGGTTTTTAGACCCCACAAATAAGTGAGAACATGTGGTGTTTGTCTTTCTGTGTCTGGCTTATTTTAGCTAACATAATGATCTCCAGTTCCATCCACGTTATTGCAAATGAAAGGATATCATTCTTTTTTTGGCTGAGTAGTACTCCACTGTGTATATGTACCACGTTTTCTTTATATATTCATATCTTGATTAACACAGGTTGTTTCCAATTCTTAGCTGTTGTAAACAGTGCTGCAACAAATATAGGAGTGCAGATATCGCTTCAATATACTGATTTCCCTTCTTTGGGGTATATATGCAGTAGTGGGATTGCTGGATCACATGGTAGCTCAATTTTTAGTTTTTTTGAGGAACCTCCAAACTGTTCCCCATAATGTTTTTACTAATTTATCTTCCCACCAACAGTGTATGAGGGTTCCCTTTCCTTCACCTCCTTTCCAGCATTTGTCGTTGCCTGTCTTTTGGATATAAGGCATTTTTACTAGGGTGTGATGATATCTTATTGTGGTTTTGATTTGCATTTCGAATGCAAATCAAATGGTGATTTGATATTGAGCACCTTTTCATATGTCTGTTTGCCATTTGTATGTCTTCTTTTGAGAAATGTCTATTGAAATCTTTTGCCTATTCTTTGATCAAATTATTACATTTTTTTCTATAGAGTTGTTTGAGCTCCTTACATATTCTGGTTATTACCCTCTTGTCAGATGGGTAGTTTGCAAACACATTCTCCCATTATATGGGTTGTCTCTTCACTTTGTTGATTGTATCCTTTTCTGGGAAGAAGCTATTTAACTTGCTGTGATCCCGTTTGTACATTTTTGCTTTGGTTGCTTGTGCTTGTGGGGTATTGCTCAATAAATTTTTGCTCAGACCAATGGCCTAGAGACTTTCCCCAATATTATCTTGTAGTAGTTTAATAGTTTGAGGTTTTAGATTTAGGTCCTTCATCCATTTTTATTTTATTTTTGCATATGGCAAGAGATAGGGGTCTAGTTTCATTCTTCTGCACATGGATATCAGTTTTCCCAGCACCGTTTACTGATAATGGACTGTTTCTTTCCCTCCAGCAAGAAGCCACAGATGTTGACTTCCTCCAGCGTTGCTGACTCACCCCTTCCCTGATCTTTCATTTGGGTTGTGTTCCTCCCTAGCAACTTTTCTGATGTGTTAATGTCATTCATTCTTAGCACATGACTGACCCAGCATCTGTTCTTTTCCTAATAGATGAAGTGCTGGGAGAGAAGGGTAGGTATTTACTATTTCCACTATATAACAGGCTTATCTTTAGGGAGTGATTGTGTAGATATCAAGAGGGAGAAAGAGAATGAATTTAGTGGAGGTTTTTGAGTTGTTTGTATAAAAGATTGAGCCCATTGAGCAGTGATTGCAAATGAGAGAAATGGTTATGTATACAGTTCTCCTGAAGAATAGAGAGCACCATCTACTATAAAATTTTAAAAAATCAAGTATCCCTCCCCAGGTGATGTTTCTAATTTTTAGAGAATAGTTGTTCTTACTCATGAGTAACATGTAGTATACAAATGCAGAAGTCTGTTAGTTTCGATGGTTGAATCTGGATTAGTTTCTTTTGCATTCCTAAGATTATAGTCTTAGTAAAACCAGCACAAAAATGTCTATACTGATGAGCATCTGACACTTCAGATCATTTGGATTTTTTCTGGGGCTGTGTGATGGTTGGAGGGTAAGGGGGTGGAAGTGGCTTTTAAAGAGGACCTATTAACTATAGATTTTGGAAAAACATATAATGATTTTGTTGTTTCATTTAATGTATACAAATTTACAAATAAAATATGGTTTCAAGTAAGCAGAAAAAAAACCATGACTTTCAAAATTAGCACTACACCTTTTTTTTTATTATTATACTTTAAGTTTTAGGGTACATGTGTACAATGTGCAGGTTAGTTACATATGTATACATGTGACATGCTGGTGCGCTGCACCCACTAACTCGTCATCTAGCATTAGGTATATCTCCCAATGCTATCCCTCCCCCCTCCCCCAACCCCACAATAGTCCCCAGAGTGTGATATTCCCCTTCCTGTGTCCATGTGTTCTCATTGTTCAATTCCCACCTATGAGTGAGAATATGCGGTGTTTGGTTTTTTGTTCTTGCGATAGTTTACTGAGAATGATGATTTCCAATTTCATCCATGTCCCTACAAAGGACATGAACTCATCATTTTTTATGGCTGCATAGTATTCCATGGTGTATATGTGCCACATTTTCTTAATCCAGTCTATCATTGTTGGACATTTGGGTTGGTTCCAAGTCTTTGCTATTGTGAATAGTGCCGCAATAAACATACGTGTGCATGTGTCTTTATAGCAGCATGATTTATAATCCTTTGGGTATATACCCAGTAATGGGATGGCTGGGTCAAATGGTATTTCTAGTTCTAGATCCCTGAGGAATCGCCACACTGACTTCCACAATGGTTGAACTAGTTTACAGTCCCACCAACAGTGTAAAAGTGTTCCTATTTCTCCACATCTTCTCCAGCACCTGTTGTTTCCTGACTTTTTAATGATTGCCATTCTAACTGGTGTGACATGATATCTCATTGTGGTTTTGATTTGCATTTCTCTGATGGCCAGTGATGGTGAGCATTTTTTCATGTTTTTTGGCTGCATAAATGTCTTCTTTTGAGAAGTGTCTGTTCATGTCCTTCACCCACTTTTTGATGGGGTTGTTTGTTTTTTTCTTGTAAATTTGTTTGAGTTCATTGTAGATTCTGGATATTAGCCCTTTGTCAGATGAGTAGGTTGTGAAAATTTTCTCCCATTTTGTGGGTTGCCTGTTCACTCTGATGGTAGTTTCTTTTGCTGTGCAGAAGCTCTTTAGTTTAATTAGATCCCATTTGTCAATTTTGGCTTTTGTTGCCATTGCTTTTGGTGTTTTAGTTGTGAAGTCCTTGCCCATGCCTATGTCCTGAATGGTAATGCCTAGGTTTTCTTCTAGGGTTTTTATGGTTTTAGGTCTAACATTTAAGTCTTTAATCCATCTTGAATTAATTTTTGTATAAGGTGTAAGGAAGGGATCCAGTTTCAGCTTTCTCCGTATGGCTAGCCAGTTTTCCCAGCACCATTTATTAAATAGGGAATCCTTTCCCCATTTCTTGTTTTTCTCAGGTTCGCCAAAGATCAGATAGGTGTAGTATGTGGCGTTATTTCTGAGGGCTCTGTTCTGTTCCATTGATCACTATCTGTTTTGGTGCCAGTACCATGCTGTTTTGGTTACTGTAGCCTTGTAGTATAGTTTGAAGTCAGGTAGCGTGATGCCTCCAGCTTTGTTCTTTTGGCTTAAGATTGACTTGGTGATGCGGGCTCTTTTTTGGTTCCAGATGAACTTTAAAGTAGTTTTTTCCAATTCTGTGAAGAAAGTCATTGGTAGCTTGATGGGGATGGCATTGAATCTATAAATTACCTTGGGCAGTATGGCCATTTTCACGATATTGATTCTTCCTACCCATGAGCATGGAATGTTCTTCCATTTGTTTGTATCCTCTTTTATTTTATTGAGCAGTGGTTTGTAGTTCTCCTTGAAGAGGTCCTTCACGTCCCTTGTAAGGTGGATTCCTAGGTATTTTCTTCTCTTTGAAGCAATTGTGAATGGGAGTTCACTCATGATTTGGCTCTCTGTTTGTCTGTTATTGGTGTATAAGAATGCTTGTGATTTTTGTACATTGATTTTGTATCCTGAGACTTTGCTGAAGTTGCTTATCAGCTTAAGGAGATTTTGGGCTGAGACAATGGGGTTTTCCAGATATACAATCATGTCATCTGCAAACAGGGACAATTTGACTTCCTCTTTTCCTAATTGAATACCCTTTATTTCCTTCTCCTGCCTAATTGCCCTGGCCAGAACTTCCAACACTATGTTGAATAGGAGTGGTGAGAGAGGGCATCCCTGTCTTGTTCCAGTTTTCAAAGGGAATGCTTCCAGTTTTTGCCCATTCAGTATGATATTGGCTGTGGGTTTGTCAGAGATAGCTCTTAGTATTTTGAGATACGTCCCATCAATACCTAATTTATTGAGAGTTTTTAGCATGAAGCGTTGTTGAATTTTGTCAAAGGCCTTTTCTGCATCTGTTGAGATAATCATGTAGTTTTTGTCTTTGGTTCTGTTTATATGCTGGATTACATTTATTGATTTGCGTATATTGAACCAGCCTTGCATCCCAGGGATGAAGCCCACTTGATCGTGGTGGATAAGCTTTTTGATGTGCTGCTGGATTCGGTTTGCCAGTATTTTATTGAGGATTTTTGCATCAATGTTCATCAAGGATATTGGTCTAAAATTCTCTTTTTTGGTTGTGTCTCTGCCTGGCTTTGGTATCAGAATGATGCTGGCCTCATAAAATGAGTTAGGGAGGATTCCCTCTTTTTCTATTGATTGGAATAGTTTCAGAAGGAATGGTACCAGTTCCTCCTTGTACCTCTGGTAGAATTTGGCTGTGAATCCGTCTGTTCCTGGACTTTTTTTGGTTGGTAAGCTATTAATTATTGCCTCAATTTCAGAACCTGTTATTGATCTATTCAGAGATTCAACTTCTTCCTGGTTTAGTCTTGGGAGAGTGTATGTGTCAAGGAATTTATCCATTTCTTCTAGATTTTCTAGTTTATCTGCGTAGAGTTGTTTGTAGTATTCTCTGATGGTAGTTTGTATTTCTGTGGGATTGGTGGTGATATCCGCTTCATAATTTTTTTTTGCATCTACTTGATTCTTCTGTCTTTTTTTCTTTATTAGTCTTGCTAGCGGTCTATCAATTTTGTTGATCCTTTCAAAAAACCAGCTCCTGGATTCATTAATTTTTTGAAGGGTTTTTTATGTCTCTATTTCCTTCAGTTCTGCTCTGATTTTAGTTATTTCTTGCCTTCTGCTAGCATTTGAATGTGTTTGCTCTTGCTTTTCTAGTTCTTTTAATTGTGAAGTTAGGGTGTCAATTTTGGATCTTTCCTGCTTTCTCTTGTGGGCATTTAGTGCTATAAATTTCCCTCTACACACTGCTTTGAATGTGTCCCAGAGATTCTGATATGTTGTGTCTTTGTTCTCGTTGGTTTCAAAGAACATCTTTATTTCTGCCTTCATTTCGTTATGTACCCAGTAGTCATTCAGGAGCAGGTTGTTCAGTTTCCATGTAGTTGGGCAGTTTTGAGTGAATTTCTTAATCCTGAGTTCTAGTTTGATTGCACTGTGGTCTGAGAGATAGTTTGTTATAATTTCTGTTCTTTTACATTTGCTGAGGAGAACTTTACTTCCAACTATGTGGTCAATTTTGGAATAGGTGTGGTGTGGTGCTGAAAAAAATGTATATTCTGTTGATTTGGGGTGGAGAGTTCTGTAGATGTCTATTAGGTCCGCTTGGTGCAGAGCTGAGTTCAATTCCTGGGTATCCTTGTTGACTTTCTGTCTCGTTGATCTATCTAATGTTGACAGTGGGGTGTTAAAGTCTCCCATTATTAATGTGTGGGAGTTTAAGTCTCTTTGTAGGTCACTCAGGACTTGCTTTATGAATCTGCGTGCTCCTGTATTGGGTGCATATATATTTAGGATAGTTAGCTCTTCTTGTTGAATTGATCCCTTTACCATTATGTAATGGCCTTCTTTGTCTCTTTTGATCTTTGTGGGTTTAAAGTCTGTTTATCAGAGACTAGGATTGCAACCCCTGCCTTTTTTTGTTTTCCATTTGCTTGGTAGATCTTCCTCCATCCTTTTATTTTGAGCCTATATGTGTCTCTTCGTGTGAGATGGGTTTCCTGAATACAACACACTGATGGGTCTTGACTCTTCATCCAGTTTGCCAGTCTGTGTCTTTTAATTGGAGCATTTAGTCCATTTACATTTAAAGTTAATATTGTTATGTGTGAATTTGATCCTGTCATTATGATGTTAGCTGGTTATTTTGCTCGTTAGTTGATGCAGTTTCTTCCTAGTCTCGATGGTCTTTACATTTTGGCATAATTTTGCAGCAGCTGGTACTAGTTGTTCCTTTCCATGTTTAGTGCTTCCTTCAGGAGCTCTTTTAGGGCAGGCCTGGTGGTGACAAAATCTCTCAGCATTTGCTTGTCTGTAAAGTATTTTATTTCTCCTTCACTTATGAAGCTTAGTTTGGCTGGATATGAAATTCTGGGTTGAAAATTCTTTTCTTTAAGAATGTTGAATATTGGCCCCCACTCTCTTCTGGCTTGTAGAGTTTCTGCCGAGAGATCCGCTGTTAGTCTGATGGGCTTCCCTTTGTGGGTAACCCGACCTTTGTCTCTGACTGCCCTTAACATTTTTTGCTTCATTTCAACTTCGGTGAATCTGACAATTATGTGTCTTGGAGTTGCTCTTCTCGAGGAGTATCTTTGTGGTATTCTCTGTATTTCCTGAATCTGAATGTTGGCCTGCCTTGCTAGATTGGGGAAGTTCTCCTGCATAATATCCTGCAGAGCATTTTCCAACTTGGTTCCATTCTCCCCGTCACTTTCAGGTACACCAATCAGATGTAGATTTGGTCTTTTCACATAGTGCCATATTTCTTGGAGGCTTTGCTCGTTTCTTTTTATTCTTTTTTCTCTAAACTTCCCTTCTTGCTTCATTTCATTCATTTCATCTTCCATCACTGATACCCTTTCTTCCAGTTGATCTCGTCGGCTCCTGAGGCTTCTGCATTCTTCACGTAGTTCTTGAGCCTTGGCTTTCAGCTCCATCAGCTCCTTTAAGCACTTCTCTGTATTGGTTATTCTAGTTATACATTTGTCTAAATTTTTTTCCAAGTTTTCAACTTCTTTGCCTTTGGTTTGAATTTCCTCCTGTAGCTCGTAGTTTGATCGTCTGAAGCATTCTTCTCTCAACTCGTCAAAGTCATTCTCCATCCAGCTTTGTTCTATTGCTGGTGAGGAACTGCAATCCTTTGGAGGAGGAAAGGTGCTCTGCTTTTTAGAGTTTCCAGTTTTTCTTCTGTTTTTTCCCGATCTTTGTGGTTTTATCTACTTTTGGTCTTTGATGATGGTGATGTACAGATGGGTTTTTGGTGTGGATGTCCTTTCTGTTAGTTAGTTTTCCTTCTAACAGACAGGACCCTCAGCTGCAGGTCTGTTGGAGTTTGCTAGAGGTCCACTCCAGACCCTGTTTGCCTGGGTATCAGCAGCGGTGTCTGCAGAACAGTGGTTTTTCACGAACCGCGAATGCTGCTGTCTGATCGTTCCTCTGGAAGTTTTGTCTCAGAGGAGTACCCGGCCGTGTGAGGTGTCAGTCTGCCCCTACCGGGGGGTGCCTCCCACTTAGGCTGCTCAGGGGTCAGGGGTCAGGGACCCACTTGAGGAGGCAGTCTGCCCATTCTCAGATCTCCAGCTGCAGCACTGTACCTTTTTAAAGGCCCTGATCTTTGCTAATTATAGTTATTTGCCTTAATGACAACATAGTTGTATTAACCAGGGTATGATGATTACTGTGATAAATAGACCTCACATATATATTGGTAATAGAACCTCATTTCATGTTCATGTAATGGTAGTGGGAATGTGAACAAGTCAGCAGACAGCTCTCATCTACTCAGAGACCTAGGTTAATAGAAGTTCTACTACATATAGGCTTACAAGAAGGCCTTGTTTTTTTTTTTTCCTTTTAGATATTCCATAGGGGAAAGAAGGAGAGCTGAGAATGCACAGAAATTTTCATGTGCCAAGTTTGGAAGTGGTATGTAGAATTTCTCTTTATATTCGATTGGTTGGAATCCTATTGCATGTTCCTATCTAATTTCAAAAGAGTCTAGGTAAAGTAGTTGTTTAGCATGGGTTTCCTAGAAAATAGAATCTGAGGCAAGGACTAAGTGCTAATGCTTTGAGAGGTATACGTCCAGAGTGAGAGGAAGGCGAAGTGAGGCAGGTAAGGATGGTAAGCCATACAAGGTACCATATTGGTTGTTACTTCACAACAATCTGGAAGAAATAGCAGGTCATGCAGCAGGTCAACCACTCAGGCTGTATGGCAAAATCAGTAGTTAGAACATTCCATTGGAGTGAGGGAAGTAAGAAGAATTTATCTACCTGGCCCTCCCCCACTTCTTGATTCCTAATGATCGAAGTTTGTCCTACAGGGAGTTAACTCCTCAACACTACGTGTTTGTATCATCAAACATCTTTAGCAGCTTCTCAGAAATTTACACCAATACTGTCTGGTGTATTTCACCTGAATCTGAGTCAGATGGAAAATGGCAGAAGATAGAGACTCTGGAGTGTGGCTGGTTACCCTCAGACAGCAAAACTTCATGAGTCTACACTGCATATGATGGTCATGGTGGCAACTGTCTCAAAGACAACTGAAAACAATACAATCTGAAAATTTGGCAAAAAGCCTTACCTTATATAGTCCACCCCTTGCAACATTCGGATCCATCTGTGCCCTCCAATTATATATGTTTCTTAATCTAAAATATGGAGCAACTTTTTTTTGTTAGAACAAGAGATGTCACATTCTCTTGGAAAGTGGAGATACAAGTTCAATGGTACATGGTTTGAAATTCCTTCAAAACTCAGGTTGAAATGTAACTGTCATTATGGTGGTATTAAGAGGTGGGACCTTCAAGAGGTGATTAGGTTATGAGTGCTTCAACCTCATGAATGGGCTAATACTATTATTGGGGAGTGCCTTAGTTATCACAGGAGTTTAGTCTCTTTTTTCTGTCTTGTACTTGCACTTCCTCACCATGGGATGCCTTCTGCCATGTTACGATGCAGCAAAAAGACCTTTAGGTGCGGGCCCTCTGTCTTGGACTTCTCAACCTCCAGAACAGTGAGTCAAATAAACTTACGTTGTTTATAAATTATCCATTCTGTGGTATTCTGTTAGAGCAACAGCAAAACAGTCACAGAGTTACCTTCAAATTGCATTTTTCTTGAAGAGTGAAGGCAAGAGAATCAGTGAAAAACAACTAAGGTGTTGCTACAGGTGGTCTTGAGGCTATAACTGATATCACTTATTTCCTCCTCCATCCATTACAGGTTTCACTTACCCACTGTCAATACTTCCACCGATATGCTTGCTTTCGAGGGTAATCCAGAGCCTCATTCTGAGGATTCTAAGCCTTCTGTTTCCCTGCTGTTATTGGGTTGTGGTTCTTATAATTCGCCAGTGACAGTTATTATGAGTCTTGAAAATACTAAGAGATGCCTTAGTGAATCTCCTGCATTCATAGACATGTTTCTCCCTGCGCACATTGTGTAGATATACTTCTTTCTTCTCAGGATTTGTTATCTAACTTCTCAAGGTTGATTATCTCAGCCAGTACAGTAACTCCTTTCTTTCACTACTGCTGTCAGGCAGAGTTTAAATTAGCCATATGGTAGATACAGCTTCTAGTTCAGTGGAACCACCACTGTGTCCCTGGCAAAAGTGTTCCTTCTCTGAGAATCAGGACCTGCAACTCAGCAGAAACCTAGGGTTGTGGTACAGAAAGCGCAAATACTACAAGTGGGTTATTGAGTGTAATAATGAGAGGGGGCATTTCTATTTCTGCCTCTTTGTTCTTGGCTTTTGTATTCAATTATTGGAGACATAGTACCTTAGTCTAATGTCTTACTCTATCTAGGCTGCTATAAAAGAAGTACCCTAGACTAGGTGGCTTGTAAACAACAGATATGTATTTCTCGCAGTTCTGACGGCTAAGTCCAAGATCAAGGTGCTGATAGGTTTAGTGTCTGGTGAGGGCCTGCTTCCTTGTAGATGGGGCCTTATTTCTCTGTCTCAACATGGTAGAAGGGACAAGGGGTATCTCTCAGACCTCTTTTATAAGGACACTAATCCCATTCATGAGGACTCTACCCTCATGTCCTGATCACTTCTCAAAGGCCCCACCTCCTAATACCATCACCTTAGGGGTTAGGATTTCAACATATGAATTTTAGGGGGTGAGGGGACACAAACATTCAGACCATAGCAGTGCCATATGCCAAATATTAGTTTAGCACATATATACATACACGAAATCCTCGAAGTCGGTGTCTTAAATCTCAAGTGTGTTGTTTCTGAGCTGGCACCATAGCTTAGCCTTTAACACATCATTCCTTTGTTCTTTTAGGTTGGCTGCTTCTAAGTGACAAACTCATTTGTTAAAAAGGCATGGTCGATTTTAAAAATGTACTCCTTTAATCAACAATAAAATAACACAAACAGGGTGTGTCAATAATTTCATAAGCCTTGAGATTCATGTGGAGAGTCTGAATATGATATTCTTAGCAGATAAAAATATTTACATTTGAATAGAAATATAAGAAACCAACAAATTCAACTGCCCCATTTTACAAAAGAAAAATAGAGGCCCAGAGAGAAAGAGCGACTTGATAGCTAATTAATGACTGAATCTGTGCTAGATCCAGGCTTTCTTTCTAGATCCCTGAAAATATCATTATATCAAGCCACTTTTTAAACCAAAAACATGGGTTTATCTGTTGAAAATTGAGTAGATTTCTAGATGCAAATCAGATTAGTTTCAAGGTAGCAAATAGCTTTGTTCCCCCTTTGCCACTATACATAGTAGAATTATATTGTACGTTCTGTGAAGTGGTTGCAGTTTTTTGTGTAGAAGCAAGGGAAACATTCATCTTTGTGTAACAGTTGCCTTCTATTCCTTCAGGGCCTTGTTCAAGCCTCACCTCCTCCAGCAAGCCTTCCCTAAATTCTTTAGTTTATGGCAACCTTTTCTTACCTCTCACAGAAACTATTGGTCACCTTTTTATTACTTTCACCACAAAACAATTTTTACAAGTGAATGAAACAAATACATAAAACCCTGTCATTTCAACATATGAAACCAGTTTCATTTTTCAAAATTACATCTCACCTTTGTATGCATATATAATTTGTATAGCATTGGAGATTTTTGTAATCATGGCATAGATATATATTTGTAGTCATTTCCCCACTTGACATTAATGCGTGATCACCTTGTAAAGTTGCTACATAATTTTCATGATTTTATTTTTAATGGTGTTTCTCATCACCTCTTAGGTATTTCATACGCATTTTAAAATTAACATGTTTTAAAGTGAACTCAGCTTACCATTTAACACTACACAACTTTAGGTGGAAAAAGTCTTCAACCTGTCTTTCTTTCGTTTACTATCCCTATAAGTCTATAAGTCTAGTCCTTCTACTGCCTAAATATTTTTATAATTATAAACTCTTTTTTCCAACTTTGTCACTGGATCGGGCTTCCTGAGGCTCACTAGTCCAATTGCAATAGGCTAATTCTGGCTACTACTAGTAGGCAGTCTTTATGGTCGGTTTTTCGGATGGATGCCCAATAATTTGTTTTTAAATTAAAATTTGATCCTATTCTCTGCTTAAAAACTTTCAGTGGTTTTCCTTTGTCTGTGAAGAGGTTGTCAGTACTTAAAACTAGGGTTATTTTACACGAACATGTAGATTTCTGGTTTCTCAAGGAATTAAAAATCTGGCTGCAGTGTGCCTGCATTCCAGGATGGCAACAGAAGGGTAAAGATGAGTAGAGGCTGTTCCTGCAGAAAGGGCAAGTGCTGGCAATTTGGCAAAGAGCCCCCCAAATCTGTTCTGCATGGCACACAAGATTCTTATCAGAGACCTTGCTGAGTTCTTTAGCCTTATTCTCCTATTAATCAAGAGACAGAGAGTGGCTCTTCAAATGTGCCTTGGAATGCTCCTCTCTCTGTGCCTCATGACCTTCACGTCTAGTGGAATCTCTTTTTTTGTTTTCCTTGAAGACTTTACTGCAGTGTCACCTCCTTTATGAAGGCCTTCCTGACTTCCCAAGCCTTCCAGGTAGCAGAAGGATCTAGAAAACAATTCCACTTCTCACTCTATTCTACAACTAGTCTTTCCCTCCCCAGGCTAGGAGGGTAGGCCAAGAAACTTTTGCTTGCTGCTTTTCAGTGTTTCCCCTTCTTGCTTCATCAACTGCCCCTTTTTGTCAGGCTCCCTTCTCTGCTTTCCATCTTCCTAATCCTTCCTTTTCAGTTTAATTCAGCAAACTCATAAAGAGGGGCTGATAAAGGCACTGGATGCTGGAGGGGAATTAGTGAAGAGTGAAGGGCTCCTGTAGCAGGACAAGCCATAGACAAAACTCCTCAGACACCTAGTTAAAGAAGGAAGGGGTTTATTTGGCCGGGGGCATCAGCAAGACTCCTGTCTCAAGAGCCGAGCTCCCCAAGTGAGCAATTCCTGTCCCTTTTAAGGGCTCACAACTCTAAGGGGGTGGCCATGAGAGGGTCATGATTGATTGAGCAAGCAGGGGGTATGTGACTGGGGGCCGCATGCACTGGTAATTAGATAGATCGGAACAAAACAAGATAGGGATTTTCACAGTGCTTTTCTATACAATGTCTGTAATCTATAGATAACATAACCGGTTAGGTCAGGGGTCGATCTTTAACTACCAAGCCCAGGGTGTGGTGCCGGGCTGTCTGCCTGAGAATTTCACTTCTGCCTTTTAGTTTTTACTTTTTCTTTCTTTGGCGGCAGAAATTGGGCATAAGACAATATGAGGGGTGGTCGCCTCCCTTATTCCCCTCACTTTGAGACTCTCACTCAATAGTGGGAGTTCTCACTTTCATTTTTACTACCCATGTCTTCTTGCAAGACAGATCAATAGTGATTCACATAGTACACTTTTGCCAAAGCATTTTGGTGAACTAAGGTAGCGATGAAGCTTTTTACCATTTGAAGAAGTACAGATAGCAAACAATGGATCAGTAAGCAGGTTCCTATTACTATTATAACTCTTATTATAAGAGTTTTAAATCCTCCTAGCGCTGGGAACTATTTTCCAAACATGGCCTCAGGATCAAATCCATGCCACACTTGCACAGGCACATGTGCCAGTTTTGTCATATCTCTAACTGTGTCTTCAACTACTTGCCCTTGACTATCTATGTGTAGGCAGCAATTAGCAAGGTTAAATTTCCTACAGACCTCTCCTTCAGCTGCTAGCAAGTAGTCGAGAGCTGATCTATTTTGATAGATAGCATTCCTCATCTGAGTTTCTTGCCAGGCCAGAATAGTCAAGGCTCTGCTGGATTTATTAGGGATTATTTTTAAGACAACTTGTAACCGTATGATTTGGTTGATCATGTAATTGGGGGTCTGGTATCCCCATGAGCCATCTTGTGCCCAAGTAGCAGGCCCATAATATTGTATGATTCTCTCAGGGGGCCATTTATAATTTTTTCAATTTCCTATAGCTATGCTTCTCTTTTCGCAGGAAGCATAGACAGGGAAGCCCAGGAGTTCACCTGTTTTTATGGGCAGTAGGAAGAAAGATGGTTTAATAGTGCCAATAACACAACTACCTGCCCACTGGTCAGGTAATTTGGCATAAGCTCTATGCCCACATATCCAGTATAATCCAGTGGGGGCTGTCCAGTCCCGGTGGGACTTCAGTTGGGTCCACACGGTTTGCAACTTTGGGAATTTACTAAATGGATTTCTCTCGTGTGATTTGAACTCCACTAAAGTGACTGTCTTTGTGGTACCATTATACAGTTTCTGTCTCAGACAACTAAGTTGTCCTATGGGGTGAGTGAATTCTTTTCCTTCCCTAGCTATGCAATATTGTCCAATAATTGAGGCTTTTAGGACCCAGAAATTATCAGGGTGATTCTTTTGAGCTGGGAATTCATTAGGAACTGGGTCTGTAGTTACTAATTCTTGGGCTTCCCATGGCCACTGATCTCCTATTACAGTTCCTCCACATACATAACATGAAGTGACATTGAGAGACTGGGCTACATGCTTGGCTAACTGCAAATACAAATTTCTTGTTTTTCCTGGAATTTCCGGTACTGGCACATTTAGTTCATCATAGAAAGTTTGAAACACTGGCTCAGGAGAGCGTTTGTAAACTTCTTCTCGAACCAAGATATTTACTCGAGGATCCAGTCTGGCCCCATTGATTCCTAAGGTCACACGCTCCTCTTTTTTCCAGCGAGGATCAAGGGGATTGGTTAATTACTAGCTCTAAGGGATTACATTGTCCTTTAGTACAGGAGGGGCCATTTTTTCCTTTCTGAAGGTGGACTGGATCCTTTTCATTTTTTTTTTTTAATCCAAGTGGCCTAAACAACGCAAGACCAGTGTTTACATTTATTTCCACACAGTCTTAATTTATGACAGATATACTTATTTTCTGCCATATAGCCTCTTTTCTAATTAAGAGAACCACACCTTATTCCTAACTTATTACTGTTAATAACAGCACAGGCATCAACTTTTAAGGTGACTTGTTTGGGCACCCCTTTTTCTTCTGTTTTGGCTAACACTTTACTCATATCGTTTATGAGCCCCCACCAGTCCTCAGTCCTTAATCTTATTTTAAAAACTGTGGTCATGGGAGGCTCAGGTGGGTCATAACACACATCAGGCTGGTCATTTTCTGGGCTACATACCTTGTATAGAATAACATTATACCACCAAGTTCTTTTTAGAGTTCCAGTACACTTATAATAACCATAAAATAATAGGACCGTAGCAACCTTTTGTCCCACCTCAGTGACTTGATGTATACACTGGGAGCAGTCCTCAGTCTGAGGAAGGTCAGTTGAAGTCCTTACTGTAAACATCTACATTTTAAGGAAAATGAGTCCCTCGATGAGTTTTCTCATGCTTTGGCCGTGTGTTGACCAGTCTGCTTCCGGGTGTGACTGGAGCAGGGCTTGTCATCTTCTTCAGTCACTTTGCAGGGGTTGGCGAACCTGCTCCTGTCCACATACCGCTCACAGTCTACTGATGTTTAAGGATGGTCTCAGAGGTTGGGCCTGCTAGAATAAACTGAGTCCAACACCTCTACACAGTTATGTTCCACTGGGCTCTCTGATACCAGCAGCAAGGTGGTGGGGTTTAGGGTGTTGCAAACCTCATTGGTTATGTGGGGATTTTCACATAGCAAGCTTTGGTACTTGGTTAATCTAGCATTGGTTAACTAATGATGTCTTTTGGTAGTCATCAAAGTTACCACAGTATGGGGGACCTTTATATTCAGGTTTTGCCTAAGGGTTAGTTTATTTGCTTCTTATGCTAACAGGGCCATTGCTGCTAGGGCCCTTAGACCTGGGGGCCAGCCTTTGGAAACCCTGTCTAGTTGTTTTGAGAGATAGGCCATTGGCCTTGGCCAGGGCCCCACAGTCTGGGTTAAAACTCCAACTGTCATTTTTTCTCTTTCTGACACATAGAGTGTAAAGAGTTTTGTCAAGTCAGGTAGCCTCAGGGCTGGGGCCAACATGAGTTTTTCTTTTAACTCATGAAAAGCTCGTTGCTGTTGGTTGTAATAGATGTAGTTTATCTAATCTACATTTTTATTAACTGTCACCTACCAAAATATTGACTCAAATCCTGCAGCTATTTGATTTCAAGCTTTAAATTGATCTGGTATTCCTCATCGGACTCCAGTTGTGTCTAAATAGAGATGAGAGTCGAAAGACCCATAAGGGGCTTCTCTCGCTTTATGATGTCTTATTTTTTTCCCTTCTGGTTGATGAAATGCCAGGGTGAAAGGGATAGCCAATTGGACTAAAGTACAAGTGTCACTCCAGTTATTCGGCAGAGTGCCCAGTAAAGGTCCACCACAATACCACCGCACGTCTGCTCGAGGATGAACGAGGGCTGACCAATCAATAAGCTGTTGAAAATTTTTATGCTCACTGCATCCTTTCAGGTCTCCAAGGAATGCTAAGTTTCCTCCTTGTCATGAGAGACATGAAGTGAACTTAGTGTTGGGAGATGGAGGCTGGATGGCCCTTGGGGGTTGACCTGCAGGGTGCCGGACTTTGGGATATAGCAGAGAGAGCTTGGCATGACTTATTACTCCAGGTTGTAGAATCCTGGAAAAGAGCTCCCACGCAGCCCACACCTGGTCGACTGGAGGACCACCTTAGTAGAAAGGGGACAGTCTGGGCCTCTGGCCTGCCATGTGCACAAGCATAACAATTGCTTTTGTTTAACATGCAGATGGAATATTTGATCCATTTTAACCAGGCATTTGCATCTTGGTATCCTGTCTTAATTGCTAAAGTTTGTTTTAAGTATTTAACTTCTATGATCCTCTAGTAAAATGAATGTATGGTTTCAGGAAATTACAAAAACCGGTTGGGGCAGTCTATCCTTGCTCTGTAGTGGTCCACAGAACGTTGGACCAACTATAGCATGAAAGCTCTACATCGGGGGGCAAGACTCCTGGTTGGCTCTGGGGTCTTTATCGAAATCTCCCCGGATTAAATGGTCCTAATTTACTAACACCCAGTCTGAGGAGAGTCAGGAGGGACAGAAGTACTTTTCTGAAGTAGAAAGCTGTGTTTGACTTGGCAAGTCCCCACAGGGTATAACAAGGCAAGCATTAAGTGCAATAGTTTGAGGGGAAATTGACTTGGTTATGTTAATAACTAGATGGTCAGCAATAGAATGAGGAAAGAAGAAAGAGTAATAGAATAGATGAAAAGAGTTAAATTTTTCTTAGCTTTAGTTTGATAGGGTTTTCCCCTGGGACTATGGCCTACAACTCTGGAGGGGGTGGCGCTTTCTTGACTTGGGTGTGATGAGTCCATCCTTTTTTTTTTTTTTTTTTTTCTGTACAAACAGCAGTCTTGGTGATTAGCAGCACAAGGTAGGGTCCTTCCCAGGCTGGCAAGAGTTTTTCTTCTTTCCACCCTTTGGTGAGAATGTGATCTTCAGGCTGGTGCTGGTTTACCGGAAATTCTAGGGGTGGTACATGTGCTAAAAGACTTTTAGTTTTTGAGAGAAAGGAAAGTGGAAGATAAACCAAGTATATAATTTTGAAGAAATTTACCTTTTGTTTTAAATGTGGGGACCTTGGCAGTGGACTTTATAGTCCTTCGTGCCTTTTTACTGAGAAATTTCCTTTAGCACCTATTTTTATTAGTTTTTAAACCAAAGAAAGCTAAATACCATTTTACATTTAACAATGCTTCTCATATGATTTTTATACCAGATAAGCTAAATTTTATCTATATTAGTGTGTTATTAATGTTAAACCTAATTTTAATAAAACCTTGTAGACATATTTATCTAATTTTTAATGTTTGACCATAAGGTAAGATTTTATAGACTCTTTTCAACCTTTTGTAATTTTTGCTAAAGAGCAGGTTGGTGCTTTAAGAAAAACCTGTTATGTTTTTACTTTAATGTCCAGTTCACAGAAAAACTGGATGATACTTCTTTAACTTTAGCTAATATGTTACACACAGAATTTTCTTTACAATTAATATTTTAAAATTTGCTTAAACCTTCAAAACAATAATTTTTTTAAATTTTTTAATGTAGGTAAAAATGTACATTCTTATGCCTCCTTATAATCTTTTTACCAAAGGTATTTTTTACTTTTCTTATACACCTTGCACATAAACTGGTTTTTTTTTTTTTTTCAGTAGTTTTACATTCAGGAGGCCTAGTTACTTTTAAATTATACAACATTTTTTGCATAAATTCTTTTTTATAACATTTTTCTCTTTCATGACTTTCACAGACAATTCTTCGACATACCTCAACTTTCTGACTTACTACAAATGTTTCTTACTTTAACCAACCAGTTAATTTATTTCAGGACAAGAATTTACCATATAATACTCCTTTTATATAAATTCTGCCTCTCCTTTTTTTTCCTTAGGATACTTCTGAACTGGTGAGGTCTGCTCACATTGAGGTTTCCTCTAAAAGTTATTTTTGTTGTTGTTAGCAAAGCAGTTGCTGCTACAGATTGAATGCATTTGGGCCATCTGCAGGTTACTGGGTTAAGGATTTTTGATAGGAAGGCCTCAGTGCTTTCGGGATAAGCCCTTGTTTACACTGACAACAAAGTGGTATTGGAATGTTACAGGGTTACGGAGAATACCTTCAATTATCAATTATAGGTTTTAAATTTACCTTAAATTCCTTTAAATTTCTTTAAAACCTATAGGTTTTAAAGGAATAGGGTATACTTTTTTTTCTTAACTGCTTGTATATCTCTCTCTTTGTCTCTTTGACTTTGTCTCTCTCTCTTTGACTTTCCTTTTGCCTCTGTCTCTTCCTCTCTCTCTCTGCCTCTCTCTTTCTTTCTCTCTCTCTGCTAATCTTTCCTTGCCTCTGCCAGCTGCTTATGCTGCTGTTCTCTCAACCACTGTGTGTTGGGGGCGGGGGGTCTAAAACCAGCTGTAACCAAGTGTCTATATATGGGAATTGGTCTGGGTTCCCTGGCTTACAGGTTACCTTGTGCTATACTTTTGAAACAAGGGACCTGTCCAGGCTTCCTTCTAATGACCAACCTACCTCTAATGCTGGCCAGTCTTACACGAAGTTTTAAGTTTTCCTGATGTCATAGTACTCCATAGTCTCTCTTAAATTCTGTTTTGAAAATTTTCAACATAGTTCCTAGTAGGGTGGGCTTATTTGTGCCTGACCTATGCTTCTTCCAGACAAAACACCATGCTCACACTGCACGCACACCACAAAACAAAGAACGGGTGAAAAGGGCACACACACACTTTTGCAGTTTGCACCAAACCGAAATCAAAACCCAAATCAGAGTATCCAGAAATCCAAGCCAGGTCAAAACCAAAACCAAAGTATCAAGCAATCCAAGTCAAGTCAAAAATAAAAACCAAAGTGCCAGTACAGGCATGCCGTGGGTGATGAGGCCACGCTTCCACTCAAATGGAGTAGGCAAGTTCCCAAGACCGGTCCTGTCAAGCAGTTCAAACCAAGTCAAAACCAAAACCAAAACTGAAGTGCTGATAAAGGCATGCCATGGGTGATCAGGTCACGCTTCCACTCAAACGGAGTGGGCAAGTTTCAAAGACTAGTCTTACCAAGTTTTAGATGTCCAGACTCCAAGTGCCTGTTCCTTCCCGGTGTTCAGCCACTGCGTTGATCCTCCACGGGGGCCTGCCACACACTGCTCTGGCGAGGCATCCCACCGGGGCAAGTGCCTACCCGGGGGCGCTCTCAGGATCCGCGTCACTCGGGCTGTTGGGAGTTCCCTGCAGGGATGTTCCACAGGGCAGGCTTAAGCCGCCTAAGGAGCTGCCTCGACCATCTGCCAATCACCTCGCTTCCCTGTCAGGGAACCAAGAAATGTAGCAGGATGAGCTGCAGACAAAACTCCTCAGACACCGAGTTGAAGGAAGGGGTTTATTCGGCTGGGGGCATCAGCAAGACTCCTGTCTCAAGAGCCGAGCTCCCCAAGTGAGCAATTCCTGTCCCTTTTAAGGGCTCACAACTCTAAGGGGGTGTGCGTGAGAGGGTCGTGATCGATTGAGCAAGCGGGGGTATGTGACTGGGGGCTGCATGCACTGATAATTAGATAGATCGTAACAAAACAGGATAGGGATTTTCACAGTGCTTTTCTATACAATGTCTGTACTTTATAGATAACATAACCAATTAGATCAGGGGTCGGTCTTTAACTACCAGGCCTAAGGTGTGGCGCTGGGCTGTCTGCTTGTGGATTTCATTTCTGCCTTTTAGTTTTTACTTTTTCTTTCTTTGGAGGCAGAAATTGGGCATAAGACAATATGAAGGGTGGTCTCCTCCCTTACTCCTTGTGTGGCTGGGTTTAAATCCTGGTGGGACAAATGAATGTCTGGTAATGACAGCATGACCAGGTGCTGTACATGAGATATATAGACAATGTGCTCTAAAAGGCTAGAAGAAGGAATTCTTTCTAGTCATCTTTGGCAAAGGGAAGGAGGAGGTGATTGCTTACATTTAAAAGGATTTCTTAGGAGGATAATGGAACCAGGTGTTCCTCATGACTTCATTTTATGCATTCTTTTCATCTCTACATAGCCTTCTTATCCACTCCAATATTTCATTTTAGAGTGTGGGAGTCAGGTGTTCTCTGGGTTTGAATTTTACTTCATTATTTTATATCCTTGTGAAATTAACAGGCTACTTAACCTCTCCATGTCTCAGTTTCTTCCTCTTCAAAATGAGAGAAATAATAGTACCTACTTCATAGAACTGTTGAGAAATTTAAATGAGATATTCATATAAAGCGTTCAGAATATTGCCTTTCAAAGAATAAGTATGCAATGAAATTGAGGTATTATTAGCATTATTGTTTGGTAACTTCCCAATTTCTTATAATAATAGACTTGGAAGTCACCAGAACATAATGTGGGAGCACATGTTCTAATGTTCTAGTGACTTCCAAATCTATGATTGTAACAATTTCAGCTGATATTATTAAGAGAAAGTCTTGTGCAGTGGTTAAGTATGCAGACTCGAGCCAGACTGCATGGGTTCAAATCTGTTACTTCCTGCCTTTGCAAGCTGCTTACCTTTTCTGCATTTGTTCCCTCATCTGGAAAATGGAAACAATAATAGTATCTATGATATAGGGTTGTTATAAAGTGGGTAAATATATATAAAGTGTTCAGAGGAGTGTCTGGCACATAGGAGGTGCTACTTTTTTTTTTTAGTTACTTATTTTTATTGAGATAGGCTAAGAGCTTCATATGTGTTATCTTAGGAATCCTGAGCTATCTTTACACTATAGAAGTATAATAGTAATCCTTACTGTACAGATTAAGAGACTGAGGCATGGAGAGTTTAAGTAGTTGCTAAAAGCACATACCTAGGAAGTGGGAGAACTAGGACTCGGAGCCAGATATTTGTGAATATCTCTTGCTTCCACTTTCCTGACTGCCAAACACACACATCCAACTGTCCAGAGAGCACCTCCTACAGGTTCTTTCATGGATACTTTATATTCAACATTTCCAAAACTGATATCATCGTATCCCCTTCTGAATCTGCTCCCTCCCAGGGCTCACTATCTTTGTAAATGGGGTGCTACACGCTGTAGCTGCCCAAGCTAGAGAACTTGGGGTTGTGCTCGATTATTCCTCTTCATCCTCACCTACTCAATCTACCACAATACCTGTTCCTTCTAACTCCTAAGGGTCTCATATCTGTCCATTTCACTACACTTTCACTGCTACCACCCTAGTCCAAGTCACCATCATTTAGAGTAACTCAATTATCCTCCAAGTGAGTTATATAATTGCTTAATGAGGCACAGAATATTATTTGCACCTGGATTCCTTTCAAAGCACGCTCTATCTTAATTGGAAGAATGATTGAAATAGAGAACCCTCCCTCCAACACAGACCCAACACTGAAGTTGTATAACCGTTGGGAATACTAGGTAATATTGAGACTTCAGGGTGGAGGGAAAGGTTTTTGTTTTCGTTTTATGAGTATAGGGGAAAGAATTCTGTGATTAAATACCCAGTGAGGAAGAGGAGGTTAAATACCCACTTGGATAGGAGGAAAGAGAAGGGAAGAGGAGCAAGGGCAAAGAGCCAGAAAATGGTAAGAAGATGGGGGCCAGTAAAAATTCAAGGGATGGAGAGCCAACAAATATTTTTAAGAATGCTTCAGCTTAATTGTTACTATTATTTGCATTGCTATGAAATAATCATTCTTCTCCCTTATACAAATTTTCAAAATATTTTAGCAACTTTTCGAGACTACACCTGTTTTGTGGAAACTAAAGAGTGCTATGTTTGTGTGTGGGTTAGTGCAGTATGTCACAGAGGAATCATGAGCCCAGATGGCAAAGGAGGCTATGAGAAACAGGCCTGCGGGAATTTGCAGAAATTTTGGCGTAAAACCTTGGCCTTTTACTAGGCCATGGAATTGTTGCGGGCTCAAGGCAATTATTCCTACATCTCTGAAGAGACAAGGGGCCCCAAGCTGACATCTAATTTACATTTGATGATACCCCAAAGTCAATACTTTGTGTATGATGAAATGATATCCAAAAGGGGCATGTAAGTTCAGTTTCTTTTCTTTGTGAAGACATAGCCGAACAATTAGTTGTATTAATTTCAGGATTAATGACCTTTGAATAAATTAGAAACTGATTTGAAAATGGCATTCCAATGAACTAGATTTTATTCAGAGGTCTACCTCTAACTGGGTTCTAAGAGACTTGCCAATGGAAAATATTTAACTTTTCTTTGACCTCATGTTCCTCACCAGTAGAATGAGGGATTTAGATCAATCATTGTTTCCTAAACTTTGATCCATCTAACAGTAGTTGTGGGAATTTTGATTTTTCTATCCACTTGTAAAGGATGTTCATAGACAGGATGGCTATATGTTCAGGTTCATCTGGTATAGTCCCAGTTTATGTTTGTTTTTGGTATAGTTATTAACAGTGTCTCATTTTACTGTTGAAAATATCCAGATCTGGATAATAACATTTATAGTTACCTTATTAATAGGAGTTCCTTCCTTGAATAGAAAATTTTAGGTTAAATAATTTTAAACAGGTTTCTTGACTGCTAAACTTTGCAAATCCTTTATTATGCTAATGTGCCGTATGATTCTCCAAAAGAGGGGGTACGCTTTCTAGCATTTTGGCTTTGGAATTCTTATTTTGCTTCTTAGGGGAATTAGTTAATGGAACTTTTGGCTTTGGAATTCTTTTTTGCTTCTTAGGGGAATTAGTTAATGGAACTTCTTTCAGAAAGAGTACGAAATCATCTGAATTCAGCAAATACTTATGAAAGTACTATGTGCCAAGCCCTGAAAGAGGCAATGAAAAGATACAGTGGCAATCCAATCTGCCACAAAATCACTTATAATCTGATCCATAAGTGAGGTGAATGGCAGTGGGGATTGACAGTACATAAAGAGTTGCAACTCAAGGTCACATTCTAGCTTTCATATTGTGCTATGATACTATGTAATTAGAGTCCAAGATAAGGCACAGTAAGTCCAAAGCCCAAATGAGTAGTATAATTTGTTAGCACTAGGTCAAGCAAAGTTTTCTTAGACTCAATACTGAATGAAAATGCTTGATAAATCTTCCAGAATATTCATACAATGGCCCACAGAACCAATATTTTCATGACTATGCAAGACCATCTTATTTTAAAATTTAGTCTTAACAGTTCCCAAGAGGAGATGACTGGTAATGTTATTTCTAAAAAGATATTAAAAATATTACTTTGCTATAGGTGGAGATTGTGATTAGAAATTTACTCAAAGATTCTTTTTCTTTTTGAGATGGAGTCTCACTCTGTCACCCAGGCTAGAGTGCAGTGGAGTGATCTCAGCTCACTGCAACCTCTGCCTCCTGGGTTCAAGCAATTCTCTTGCCTCAGCCTCCTGAGTAGCTGGGATTACAGGCGCGCCATCATGCCCGGCTAATTTTTGTGTTTTTAGTAGAGATGGGGTTTCACCATGTTGGCCAGGATGGTCTTGAACTCCTGACCTTGTGATCCACCCACCTTGGCCTCCCAAAGTGCTGCGATTACAGGTGTGAGCCACCGCACCTGGCTGGATTAATTTTCTAGTAGAATTGTTTTGGTTAACAATGATAGCACTTAATGATACATAATTTTTTTTACATATTAGTTTATTTCTTATAACAACCAGATTGTATTAATATTTCCCCATTTACAAAAGAAGAAACTGAAACCTAGAGATGCTGAGTAATTTATCAAAGTTTTAATTGCTGATTAATCTCAGAACTAAGTTTTAAACTCAGTTTTTCTTCAGAGCGTTCATCCTTCTTTGCCACTAAACACAAATGTCATCAGACATATGAGAGGGCTGATTGTGAACATATCTTCCCCCCTCACAGCTTAGTGATCTCACATTAATACCCCGAAATCAGTCATGGGTACTTACACCATGGAAATTAGTAGAGTCTACAAATTAGAGCTCCTGTCACCACCCCCCAGGGCTGATTGTGAAACAGTTACCAGCACATCACTGGCTGTATACACATTTGGAAAGCTGTTTGACTGAGTATTGGAGGTATTCACTTGGGGAATTGTTGGTACTGTTTATGTGTTTTATTAATATCTTTATCAGATGAAGATCCCTTTTGGCTTGAATTGGAAGAGGAGATACAAATGAGAATTCTCATGATTATTAAATTATTGGATCTGGGAGTTTTTCAGAAAATTTAGTACTTCAGGCATTTTTTAAAAGAACCTTTGGGTAGGGTTATTTTCTAACCACAATTCTGCTCATGCTTCTTAATTTCCAAAACCCATTATTTGCATGTTTGTGATGACAATTATTACACTTTGAATTCATGTTCTAGTTATTTATGTATGCATATTTCCTTCCTGTTAGACTACAAGATCCATGATAGAATCCGTGCTATTCAGTACTACAACCCCAGAGAGTGTCTGGCACAGTGCTTTTTCAGTGATTGAGTTCAATGTTGATTAAATGAATAACTTTTTTTTTTCTGTTTCAGACACTATGTGATGATTTAGATAGAATAGTGAAGAAAATAATTTAATAAAACACATAATATTCTGAATCATAAAGATTTTCTTAGAACAGACCATCCAGTGTATCAATCTACTGAAATCATGGATCCATTTATGATGTTAACTATTCTACACTTGAAGATGTAATTTAGAACAGACCATCCAGTGTATCAATCTACTGAAATCATGGATCCATTTATGATGTTAACTATTCTACACTTGAAGATGTAATTTATTTATTTTTTCTTGCTATAAGTACACCTGAAAGACTGACTTCTTGAGGGAGAGGGTACTTTTAAAACCTGTACTAAAGTTAAGTACCTATTAGTTTGTATTTGTACTGTTAGCTGGAGACATATCTTTTTGGCTGTTTTCTACTATTAACATGGACTTTATTAGCATTTAGTAAACCATTGTTTTTTTTCCCCAAATAGCCCTTTTAGTTTCAGGTTACAGATTCTATTTTGTCAGTTTTTTATGTTTTGATGATTTAGAGTTATTCAATTATTTTACATTAAAATTATTTTATTAAAATTTTTTTCCTTAAATACATTAGGGATATTGTTTATAATAGATATGCTTTAGAATTGGTGAAGGGACAGATTTAATCTTTTCCCCTTGCCAATAACCCATCTGCTTGCTACTCAGCTGTAGACCAACCATCATCAGTGTAACCTGAGAATTTGATAGAAATGTAGTGTCTTGGGCCCCAGCCCAGACCTACTGCATCAGAATCTGCATTTAAAAAAATATCCCCAGAAGATTTGTATGCACATTAATGTTTGAGACAAGCCAATCAATTGAGTCTTTTTCTGAAATTCACCCTGCTGCAAAAGCAGCTGACTGTAATGTATTCTTCAATGCAGACCACAATTTGAAATTCTGATTTATTTGATGGCTTAATGTTTATTGACTGCACCTGGTGTGCTAGGTACTGCAAGGAAAATACAAACCAACCAGTCATTGTTCTGCACTTACTTTACTCTAAAATAAGAAGATACAGACAATTTGCTATTTTTTCATTCCTTTGTACTTTAAAAACATATGCAGATACATTGAAAGAAGAGAAGAGTTGAGTAGGAGAGACGGTCTGGTTAAAATCCCACTCAAGAAGGATGTAGCTCATTGTTAAAATAAGCGTAGATGAGGGATGTTTCACATACAGATAGAAATGGAATGAATTTTGCCAATTGTCTAGTTGTTTGGTCTCGGGAAAGCACATCTGTATGGCTGAATTTTGTGTAGACAAAATATCTGGACAATTGCTTGCATTTTCCACTTCCCCTCCAGATGTTTAGCATTGTGTTGATGTAGCTCAAGCTCATTGCTCTCAGACATTCATGAATTTTTAGTAGAAAAAGTTCAAAAGCATTGATTTCATGTGGACATTCCATTCCTCACGAAAATTATAGTGTTTAAAACTAATATTTGGTCAAGTTTTTCCACCTTGAGTTAAATTACCATTTATATAGTGAATTTAGAAGACATTCTTAGTCACTGTCATTAGGATGTGATGAAATAAAAAGGATTTTGAAAGTGTTCAGAATATGCCACCCCCAAATATGCCCCCAAATATGCCATTTTGGCATAAGGATTATTTTAGACTGAAGTCAATTGAGAATCAACAAATGCAGGAAGAGGTCTCTGTTCCCCTTCCTTAGCTACGACCCAAAAGGCACAAGTTTCCCTTTGTGAAGGTGCTCCCTACCTCCTAAACCAGGAAGAAAGGAGCAACTGTTATTACCGGAGACAGAGTTTGCATGGAGATGAGTCTGCACTAAGAAACCTTACTAAAATAACCCCTATCTTCCATTAGTTTCTCCTATATATTTTCCGGTTACTTTCTCTCAACTTGTTCCTTGAAGCCCAAGCCTCTTTCCATTGTTGAAATGGCATGTAAGTCCCCAAGTCTAACTGCTTCTTTGAGTTTCACTTCTTGTCTACGAACTCCCATGCTTGTAAAATGGTAATAAATCTATACAGTTTTCTCCTGTGAATCAGTCTTTTGTCAGTTAAATTTGCAGAGTCTCGGATATTGAAACTGAGGGTAGAGGAAAACTTTTTCTTCTTCCACAGTTTGTACTCTGCTAGTACTTCCTTTAAAAAAATTTAATAACTCATTTGAAAAGAGGAAAGGAAGAAATAGAGAAGGAAGGAAGGAAAGATAAAAAGAGAGATATGAAGCATGTTGAAAGTCTAAAGCATCAATAGAGATGGAATGAGAGTTTTTTGGAATTAGCTGTTTATTCATCTGTTTCATCTAATCGTTACTCAAACTGTCAATGACTACAGGCCTACTATATGCAGAGATTATTATTGTCACACTCAAAGCCTGCAGTGAGGTCAGCTGTTGGATCAATAACAACTCTCCTCCCTCAGATAACGAATCTAAATGAGAATTGCCACTGTTAATCAGGTATCTTGAAATCCTTGAACCAGGGCACAGTGATAAATGATTGCTGACTATTGTTCTCCTTTTAACCTCAGTGGACTTTGCTCACCCATATTTTTAATTAACTAATTTAGTTCAGGACATTTAAAATGCTCAAATCCTTTCAAAATTCTCCTGAGGGAAGTTATTCCTGGAGTAGACATCAGGACAAATGCCCTTCCTTTCTTTGTAGAGATATATTTAGCACATTTTTATTTTTTCTCAGAGGAACACATTTCCAAGGAAGACTTTGGTTTCACATTTCACTTAGCACTTAGTTCTTTACCTCACAGAATGACAACATTTTAAAATTCAGCAAAAATATACAATGTGCTTTATGGAGTATTAAACAAAAGTCAAAGCTTTGGAAAATTACAACCTTCAGTGCAAAAGGATATATCTTCTGCTTTTTTGAAAGTCAATTAGTAACGAAAAATCTTTTAGAAAAAATGCTGAGTTAAACTGAGATTATGAACAAGTCTTAAAAGTCTTAACAATTAAAAGATATTCTGAATGTTAAGAAGACTAAGATTTTAGCAGTTACTATTTTATTTTATTTTATTTTATTATTTTTTGAGATAGAGTCTCACTCTGTCACCCAGGCTAGAGTGCAATGGTGCGATCTCAGCTCACTGTAACCTCTGCCTCCCAGGTTCAAGTGATTTTCCTGCCTCAGCCTCCTGAGTAGTTGGGATTACAGGTGCCCACCACCACGCCTGGCTAATTTTTTTCTGTTTTTAGTGGAGATGGGGTTTCTGGTCTCAAACCTCTGATCTCGTGATCCGCCTGCCTCGGCCTCCTAAAGTGCTGGGATTACAGGCGTGAGCTACCATGCCCGGCCAGCAGTTATGAAAATTATTTATTTTTACATTTTTTTGTGTGTTCCTTGTCCTTTAACAAGTATTAAACAAAAAATTTAAAACAAGTTAGCATCTTCTCTACAACATTGAGAACATCTCATGATCTTATTGCTGTCAAGTAATTTTGTAAGGCTAGGATTGATTTTATAGTTAACAGAGGTAAAGGGCATTCATCTGCATTTTCACTTTCTAATGCATCTCTCTCATATTTAGAGAATGAGACTGTGACCAAGACAACTGAAAACAGTTGATTATTTTGTCTTCTTTTTTTTTTTTTTTTTTTTGAGACAGAGTCTTGCTCTGTCGCCCAGGCTGGAGTGCAGTGGTGCAATCTCGGCTCACTGCAAGATCCGCCTCCTGGATTCACACCATTCTCCTGCCTCAGCCTCCCGAGTAGCTGGGACTACAGGTGCCCACCACCACGCCCGGCTAATTTTTTATATTTTTTTAGTAGAGACGGGGTTTCACCGTGTTAGCCAGGGTGGTCTCGATATCCTGACCTCATGATCCGCCCGCCTCAGCCTCCCAAAATGTTGGGATTACGGGCGTGAGCCACTGCGCCCGGCCTATTTTGTCTTCTTAACTTGATTGGTAAATTAGCAAATGTAGTTAAAACACTATGTGGAATGTGGGGGGAAAAAAAGAACAGTCACAGCCTCTCACTGAAAACTTCTGGGTATCGATTCCCGCCTTCCATCTCTAGAAACCTTCCTGTTCATATGAGGTCTGAAAAAACATTTTCATCCCTTTTGGTTAACTAAAAGTAGGATATTTTTGTTGTTACCATTTATAGCATGTATGAACTGCCATTTCTAAAAAAAAAAAAAGCACTCCAAAGTGTAGTATAAAATAACAACTGTGGAATTCAGACAGAATTCTACAGAAAAGGTTTATCTCTACTGCATGAAGTCTGGGGCTTCAACTGGGGAGACTCAAAGGGCTGGTCTGTGGCTCAAATGAATGGGGGCTTGAATTATTTGGCAACCTCTTTGCTCACATGTCTGGCATGTCGGCCAGGATGGTGCAAAGGCTGGGCTCAGCTGGAGCTGCTGATAAGAATGCATACACATTGCTTTTCCATGTGGACTGGGCTTCTCATTCTCATAGTGTAATGGCTGGGTTCTGAAAGGAAGAAGCCCAAGACAGGGCACCAGGAGAGTGAGAGCTCTTAGAGAGACAGGTGAAGCTGCATGAGTTTTTGTGACCCAGCCTTGGAAATCACAGAATGTTACTTCTATTCTATTCCATTGATTAAAACAAGTATAGGCCTGCCCACATTCAAGGGAAGATGATACAGGTATTAAAGCAAACTAAATATGTCCTGAGAAGGACTCCGTACTTCTGTATTTGAGTCCTTGTGGATGAATTGTAACCTAGCTTAATAGTCAGACAAAATTGAAAACCTATCTTAACAGTATGCACCTGTAACAATGGCTGAGTGTTGGCCAATCCCAGCGGCCATACTTCAACCACTCATGGACTGTTGAATGTTCAAACTGCATTCAAATATGGTTACACCTCAGGTTTCCTATCTCACTGTTTCTGTACCTCATTTCTGATTCCTGTACGTCACTTTACCTTTTTTGTCTATGAATTTGTTCTTACCACGAGGTACTCCTGCAGTCTCTGTGAATCAGCTGTCATTCTGGGGACTGCCTGATTCGAGAATCGTTTGTTGCTCAATTAAACTCCTTTAAATTTAATGCAGCTGACGTTTTTCTTGTATCAGATGGTGTCAGAAGCAGGATCCCAAGCAGAGCTTCTAGTGACCTCCAGGAGCGCTGAGTGAACACTCGAGGTACCAGCACTCGAGGACCCACTTGTGTCCATGGATCTCTCAGAGCGGCTCCGGATGGTGGGTAAGCTCACTCTCAGATTTTGGAGCTCCATGGATTTGCGTTTTGAGCTCTCTGAGTTTCTTTGAGCAAATTTCTAATCCAAACTGGGTTTGGAGTCACGAAACAAACTGGACTGGGTCCAGGAACAGATTTGATCTGGGAATTAACTGGTTTGGATCCAGGTAGAGGCCTCTTACATCTGACTGGGTCAGAAAGGAACTAGTAGTAAGCAGTAATATTGCACTGGTTATAATTTTGGCTTTTGAAAATTCACAGGGATTTTTGTGTTCTACTGCTTTGTTTCATTTTTCTTGTGTGCTTAGGTAGAAACAAAATTATTGGCTAAGTTAATCAAGAGAACCTGAGAGTAAAGCCAATATTTTAGGTAAGAATGGGATCCTTAATTTCTGGAAAACTGAGTTCCTTTTGGTTCATACATTAGGCCTTGGAGGCAGCGAAGTCTTATAGAAATGGCAAAACCTTACTAAAGATTTAACTTACAGTGGCACGTTCTGAATGAACAGCAATGCATTGAAGTACATTTAAAAAGGAGGGTTCTTGGTAAAGTCCCTTTTGGCTAAGAACAGGTTTGGCACTACAGGATGTTAACTGCTATTCCTTTTGGAATAATCTGCCTTGCACTCTTTGCTGATGGCTGTGGGTGACATGATTCGGCATGTACAGGATTGTGGGACATGGGGAGCTTTTTCCTCCCCAAAAGGGGAATCTTGAGAGCTGATGGGATGGCTGGAAAAGATCCCTTTGCTACTGAGAAGCAGCCACCTCAACTTTTCAGTGTTGCTGCAATGGGTGGGTCTCTCTCTGGCCTCCCTGACCACTTCACCTTCCCCACCCTGCCGCAGACAGTGCTTTTCTCTCTCTCCTTTCCCTTTCCTATCTTTTCTGTTACTCAGGGCAACCATCTTGCCCAGAGACCACATGTTGAAACTCCTGGTCAGAGGTTGGATTAATGATGACGGGGCCCAACCAGGGGCAAATATAAGCACTGCCAGTTTGATATTGGGTGCTAAGCAGAGTGGCTAATGTTTATGTTTTATTGCACATATTTTACTCTGGCCAGAACAAAAAGAGATAATTTTCCTTTATGATGTGGCTTGGCCCCAGCACGATGGTGCGGCAAGCTAGGTCACTAGGGCTGCTCAGGGAAAGGGAAGCCAGAAGCCTGGGATGCTGGCAAAAGGGTAATTTTTTACCAGTCATATTTCTGGCATCTCTCTCTTTGGGCAAATGGTTGAATGAATGGTAAAAATCACTGTTTATCTCTTCTGTAAAATTTTGATTAATGCAAAAAAGAATTC